>NC_000020.11:6884516-7036031 GCF_000001405.40 Homo sapiens
TTTGATCAGTGTCAATGATCTTAACCACTCCCATTCCTCATAGAAAGATGAAGCTGAAAGATGACATTGGAAATTGCTAATGCAACCCACTTATTTTATAGGGGCAGTCAGGATATCCATAGAAACTATTGACTGGGTCTATACACATGTGGACCAGAGTGAGAACTAAAGAGCCAGTAGAGGAACAAAAGAGGAAGAAAGGGGAGCCAAGCTGTTGAAAAGCTTGAGTTCTGTCTTTACTCTGCCATATTAGTGGTGTGATCTTAGGCAAGTCACTCCAATTCTCTGATCCTCTCTGGATCATTTCAACCACAAAATACTAAATTAAATGTTGTTGTAGGATGAAAGTACTAAGAAAGGGTGATTTGGAAGCCAGACCAAGCTGGATGAAAAGAGTGTCAAATTGGGAAGAGAAAGAATGGCAGCTAGGAAATGCTGGTGAGTTGGAGAGAAAACATTGAGTGGAAACAAAAGAAACTTGATGGGAAATGACTATTTTGCATTGAGTAACAACAGACAATCATAACATAACTTGAGGAGAAAGTAAAGTTGTTTGATGCAATTTTAAAAGATGTCAAAATAGCCTTAAGTTTTATGAAATAAACGAATATTCCAAAGAGGCAAGCATGAAAGGAAGAAGTGTTCAAATATGGGAGACACTAGGTCGGGCGCGGTGGCTCACGCCTGTAATCCCAACACTTTGGGAGGCCGAGGCGGGCAGATCATGAGGTCAGGAGATGGAGACCATCCTGGCCAATATGGTGAAACCCCATCTCTACCAAAAATACAAAAAATTAGCTGGGCGTAGTGGCGGGTGCCTGTAGTCCCAGCTACTCGGGAGGCTGAGGCAGGAGAATGGCGTGAACCCAGGAGGCGGAGTTTGCAGTGAGCAGAGATTGCGCCACTGCACTCCAGCCTGGGCGACAGAGCGAGACTCCGTCTCAAAAAAAAAAAAAAAAAAAAAAAAAAAAGGGAGACACTAGGACAAATTAGTTTCCTAAATCATGCTTCACGGGACTAAGGGCCAGAGCACAGAATACCCCACTACTTCTTCCTCAACCAGAGCAGTTGCCAGTTTATCTCTTCCAAGCAAGCTTTTGTTTAAAGAACGTTTTCTGAAGCTAAGGAAAAAAATTTCTAATTGCTAACCTTGCAAGAAATCAAAAAAACGAGTGGTACTTTAATGAGTTCATTTATTGTGACACCTTTAACAGATACAACTGCAGGCCCTTGAGTGAATGAAGATCTGAAGTGGCTGTTCTGTGTAAAATACACGTGGATTTTGCAATGTGGCCATTCTAATTGGCAGGTAACTTCAACATCAGAAATCTCCAAGCTGGGCTCTCTGAGGAGAGCGGGACTAGCTCTCTTATAGGCACCAACATTGCAGTTTGGATTATGGTTTTTTGACGAAGGGTATTCAGTGTGTCAGAGGGAAGGAAGTCCAGGGCCAGGGTCAGCCATCTTTCCTTCTGCCCGCAGTAATGTTGACCTCTCGAGGAATTGATGACAGTGGAAGAGTTCGGGAAAGGAAAGGGTGGTCAGTAGCTCCAGAGTATAAACATTGGGAACAGGTTTGAGAAGAATGCTCAGGAAAATAGAAACAACTAACCAGCAACTAAACAACTAAATTGCCTGACAGGGAATCATGGAAGCTAATCAATGCAAAATTGGTGGTCAGGTAGGGGCGGGCAATGTTGACATTGAAGTCTTGTGGACAGGCTTCCTGTGTTGATTTAGTAACCACACAATGGGTAAGGGAGAGGGGATCTCTGATCATAGCACCACTAATACTAGGATGCTTCTCTTTGACAGGCATAGGGTATTTTTTTTCTTTTAAGCATTAAGTAAGTGAGAAGATCACCTTCCTTTCTTTCTCTTTTGCCCTAAGGGCCTGCCCATTTCCAGCTGCGTAATTACCTCCTTCATAAGCCTTTACTCTGAGGCATGAAGGCTCTAGCCAGTACCCTGACTAACTCCCTGCTGGGGATGCCTCCGCTGAACAGAGCAGAGAGACCTGCTGATTTCAGAGCCAAGCGCAGAAAGCAGCTGGCTCTTAACTTGTTGTTTAAGAGAGCCAAGCAGAACAGAGCTGACGATTGCCTGGCCAGTGGGAGCCTGAGCCAGGCACCTGTCAAATCCTGCTTTGCTGGGTTCTCCTGCACCCTGCTCTGCAGTGCGCTTTTCCGAGACTGGCGGTCCACACCCCACAGGCTTTCTCCCTCTACAGCCAACCAGCTGCCAGCACCCCTGTAAATTCTTTCTCCAGCTAATATTTTGATCCCTAAGCAAGTTTCTCTCTCTTTTACTGGCAGGAAAAAAAAATGTCAAAAAGGGAAAATGATGATGTCTCTATTTTCTTCTGATAGCAGGCTACCAAACACTCCCAGCATATCCATTCTTTCGCTTTGGGAAAGAGGGAAGGCAAAGTGGTCTTGACGGTGTGTGTGCAAGGAGAGACATTCGAATGTGTATTTTTACCTGTCATTTGGGTCTTGAGAAGGTTGAAGTCTGCATATGGAAAAACTGGCCCTTTCTCTTCTCAGTTCTGAGTTTTAGAGTTAGTAAACTATGTAAATTATTTTATTTCTCTGTGCTCTGCATCCAGGCTGATGTCCTGGAGAGAGGGCTTTGAAAAACTGCCCCTGAAGCTATTGGCATTAACTGAAATTGATGTTTCACAGGACTGGGATAAAGAGGGTTATCAGTAGCTCAGGCCTGGCCTGCCTTGGGGACCACTGCCCACTGGATTACCTATTGGCTTAGGGCATAGGCACTGGCTTAGGAATTAAAAGTACTAAGTTCCAGACAAGCTCTGTTTGTGAAATCACTTAGGCCTCCAGCAAGCTTTAGCTTTTCCAAGGTTTTAGTGCTCTCATTTGTAGAATGAGACGGTCAGTTAGACATCACCTCCAAAACGTTACGAGTTTCATGAATCTGGCTGCACTTACTTTGTGGAGCCATCAGCCCTAACCTGAAGCCTGGGAAACAAGTAAACGTGTTTCAAGTTTCTTAAAAGTTGCTTTCTCAAGTTACTTCCTTTCTTCACACAAGAAATGAAAGGGAAACACTGCTGCAAAGAGCCCTGGAAACAGGTCCTGATTTTAGAAGAGAGCCTTGAGATGACAGGGGCATGGATGTCCTGCACATTCCTTCAGCATAACCGCAGAAAGCCTGCATATATTTTTCGTTGTTTGTAATTGCAAACTTTTCTAAAAATCTACCCTTTAGAAATGATTGCCTTTCTCTGAGGATCAGATCACAGTCCAGCCAATTCTCAGAGAAAATTAAACAAAGAATACTGAGCCTGGAATCTGTGATTAGGATGCCTGGCGAAGTAAAAATGACCGTGTACTTTCCCAAGTGGGTCAGCTATGGCCCCAGATATCCAAACAGGATGGCACATGAATCATGCCGGTTTGATGGGCTCTCTCAGGCTGGATTTACAGCTGGATTTAGGACTAAATGTTGGAGGTAAATCTAAAGGAGCAGAAGGGCTGGGGAGGGAATGGGAAATCAAGGGAGTTTCCATCAAAGCTTTTCAGAAGCAGAAATCCATTCTACCTTTGTCGATGACTGTGGTTTGCTAGGATCAAGATCAAAGGAATCACCGTGGGCAGAGCCATGACAAGTATGAGGCTCAGTCTGGTGCAACCTAGCATTAGCCCCTCTCTTAGGCTGCCGTCTAGACTGGAAGTGGGTGCTCATACCAGACCAGGCTGAGTGTGTAGTCAGGGTACTGTTTCATGACGGGGCAAAGGACTTATAAAGCCTATCTTGATCTCCCCAGGGAAGCCCACAGCCAGGGGCAGTGAGGCACAAAGTAGCTATATCCCTGATTATGTCCTTGGGAAAACAGGGGACATGGAATGACCATGAAGCCAGGTGGTTGACAGGGACAAGGAACTGATTTTGGCAAAATCCAACTGGCTTGTTTTGTGTATCTTTCCCTCTCCTCCCTGATTGCTTTAGAAGGCTGCTCTAAAAGTTTACTAAAAAGTTGTTCGTTTGCAGGCCTAAGACACTTGATATTTGAACTAGAAGGTCTTCTTATCCACACTTTACAGACCGAAAAACTGAGGCACAGAGGGGTTAAATTAGGTCACCCAGCCATGGGTGGAGGATCCGGGAATGAATTAGGACAGATTCATTCCACAGCCCATCTCATAACGACTGACTACTCTAAAGGATATTGGTAAATTTGAATCTTATTTACTGGAAAAGCCCCTCTTGTAGAGCTGGTGCATCACAGATACCAAATAGACCTGGTTCTTATTTGTATTCCTTCATTTATAAGACTCACAGTATATCTATTAAGTTACAAAGCTAAAGATTAAAGAATTTGGTGCTGAGAACATGAATGTAAACTCATCATTTGTTGCTAAATGTATTGGGGTCAGTCAACTTGGGTTAGTGACCACAAAGAGGAACTTTTAGGAGGCCCATGGCTAGCTTTAGAAATGCATGGTTTTTGCCTAAAGCAAAGTCATCTTGAACATGTTTTGATATTATCTAATATTCCTTATTGTTTTCATAAACACTTACGGCTCAAAGGAAACCCAAGCTCACCATGCCCAGAAAATCTTCAATCTTCCTCTCCCCGTTGAGGCTCTCCTCCCAGGACTGGAGATAGTAGGACAGGAAGCTAGCACTCTACTTGAAAAATGGAATCTACCTAGTGCTGACTCATTTCCTTGCAAAATGTTGTGTGTGAGCTATTTGATGCCCCCAGAATCTTGGGAGTCCTTTTGGATGAATTTTATAAGCCGTTCCTTGATACAGATACTGCATGCTTAGACGCTACAGGTTGCCAAGATAACTCAACCCCAAAAGACTTAAGGTAAATGAAATCTCCAAGTCCCAAGGATTAGGTATGAGTTTTGGCTGCTTGGGTTTTCTCACACAAATGCCTCATATGGCAGCAGAGCAGGCAGCACCCTCCGCAGAATTGGATTATCTTGATGTTTAAGTTTTGCAAATGGATCATTCTCAACTGACCATGTGAATTGAAGAAGGTTGCTGAACTTTTGCTGGCCTCTAAGCCGTGGGCAAATAGAGTGAATCCTATTGATTAAACCCAAAGCTTCCTCCTGTGGAAAATCCTATTTAAGTAGAAGGATTATTACTATTGCCCATTAAAAAATAATCACTATATTGGGCTGGGTGCGATGGCTCATGCCTGTAATCCCAGCACTTTGGGAGGCTGAGGTGGCGGATCACCTGAGGTTGGGAGTTCCAGACCAGCCTGACCAACATGGAGAAACCCCATCTCCACTAAAAATATAAAATTAGTGGGCATGGTGGTGCATGCTTGTAATCTCAGCTACTCGGGAGGCTGAGGCAGGAGAGTTGCTTGAACCCAGGAGGCGGAGGTTGCGGTGAGCCAAGATGGTGCCATTGCACTCCAGCCTGGGCAACAAGAGTGAAACTCCAACTCAAAAAAAAAAAAAATAATAATAATAATAATCGCTATATTGTACCTTTCTTATTTGAAAGGGAGCCAGAATCTAAACAGTAAAGTGTGGTGAGGGGGTTGTTGTTCACTAGGGTGTCTCCCATAGTACAAGTTTATGATTGCATAGTTCCTGTTTCTAGTGCTTCCCTCTACTCTCCTTGACAGGTTTTAAACTAGATAGCAAGATTTTAGGTGCTCCACTGCATAATAAAAGTGTATTGGAGTACTGTGTGGATTCGAGCACTGGCTTCTTGGCAGGAAGAAGAAAACCCTCATGAAGGGTCAGAAGTGGAAGCCATACCTGGTACAGGTCTTGTTAACTGAACATTACTCTATTAGGTTCTCTTAATTATTTGAAAAGTCCTCTTCCTCCTTGCTCCAGGTTCCCTCCCTTTAGGTTGAACCTTCCATGAATTTTACAATCCATATCATTTTCTATCTAAATGATTAAAGCAAGAGCTGGCACCCTCTCAGGACCAGCCTGCTAAGTATTCATTTATTCACCGTAATTTAAGGCTTTCTCTGCCAGGAGTAATAACCCTCCTCCTCCTTCAGGCCATTCTGGATGCAGAATCTGAATGTCAGCCTGGGGCGAAGAAAGGAAGGGCAGAAAGGACAGAGAAGAATATAATTGTCCATAGGTTTCCATAGCTTTGTTAATATTTTTCTTTGGTGGATTTTGACACTGGGGAAAGGTGCATTAACCTTCAGATTACTCTTTAAGGAAGGTAATCCTGGAAAGATAAAGAGGAGTTTTGTGATTTTGGAGCATTTCTGCCTTACAAAATGGAGAGAGAGTTTCATAAAATAATAACAAAAATCAGAAGCAACTTGAGGAAAAAACCTAGAAAGAAACAAAACACCAGGAACAAAGACAAAGGAGCTGTTCTTCTCTTCTTTTAGGTTCCTTCTTTCTGGTATTTATTTATTTATTTATTTATTTATTTATTTATTTATTTGGAGATGCAGTCTCACTCTGTCACCCAGGTTGGAGTACAGTTGCATGATCTCAGCTCACTGCAACCTCCGCCTCCTGGGTTCTAGCAATTCTCCTGCCTCAGCCTCCCCAGTAGCTGAGATTACAGGTGCATGCTGCCACACCTGGCTATTTTTTTGTATTTTAATAGGGATAGGGCTTTGCCATGTTGCCCAGGCTGGTCTTGAACTCCTGAGCTCAGGCAATCTGCCCACTTCGGCCTCCCAAAGTGTTGGGATTACAGGCATGAGCTACCACGCCCAGCCTCTTTCTGTTCTCTTTATCACCAACATTCATTGAATAAATGAATATGTGGATAAAAAACCAGTGATTGAGTACATTTTTGAATGAATAAATGAATGAATCATAGGTCAGTGTTCCTCAAATTCATTCATTTTCAGAATCAAATGGAAGCCCTTTTTATAATACAGATCCCTCATCTACCCCTTCCCTTTCCATCCCAGAGTTTCCAATTCATTAGGTCACTAATGGAGCCCAGGGATCTGTATTTTCAACTGCTTCCCAGGCAATTCCAATGATCACCCAGGTTTCAAAACCCTAGGCCTACAGCACAAATGATAAATGATAACATTTAGGTTCTGTCTCTCATTTCTCCTGCTATTGGCCCCACACTGAATTTAGTTGCAGATTGATATTAATCAGTTGTTTTTTCCTCCTCCATCTGACTAGCTGATTGCCCTGCCTGTCATCCTTATGAATTGCAAATGAAATATGGTGACATTTTTCCAGAAGTTATGTCTTAGAGACTTTCCAATTTTAAAATAATCACCAGGGCTGGGTGCAGTGGCTCATGCCTGTAATCCCAGCACTTTGGGAGGCTGAGGTGGCTGGATCATGAAGTCAGGAGATCAAGACCATCCTGGCCAACATGGTGAAACTCCATCTCTACTAGAAGTACAAAAATTAGCCTGGCATGGCAGTGCATGCCTGTAGTCCCAGCTACTCAGGAGGCTGAGGCGGGAAAATTGCTTGAACCTGGGAGGCGGAGGTTGTGGTGCCACTTCACTCCAGCCTGGGCAATGGAGCAAGACTCCATCTCAAAAAAAAATTAAATAAATAAATATAAAATGATCATCAGATTTTCCATCCTGTTCTATCTCAACTCTTGTGGAATTATCCATTCATGCAAAAACCAACAGGTCCCTTGCTTTGTTTGCTTGTTTTTGGTTAGAAAAGAGTTTGCTTCCGAAATCCATTGGTTTTAAAAATGCCTCATCATCATCTCCCTGCTTACTCATGTATATTTATCCTACAAATATGTATCAAGTATCTCTAGTGTCCTGGGAACACTGTGGATACAAAGATGAAAGATATCACCCTTTTCCTTAGGGAACCTGCAGACCAATGGTAAGCTAGATACAAAAATGATTATTTCACACTCCAGATATGGTGGAGGGATGCATAGGTTAGGAAAGTTGGGGTATATATTGGGTTAGGAGGAGGATAAGTCTTGAAGAAGAAAGTGAAAGCTGAGATTTAGATGATGAAGGGAACTGAGGTATTATGCCTGCAGCCAAAACCTAAAACTTTGGAGAACTAAAGGCAAAGCTGTGTGTGTGTTGGAAGGGATGGCGGTGGGAAATGAGATTGGATATGTAGACAGGGACCACATTAAGAATAACTTCCTAAAATATTGAGTTTTAGTCTGAAGGCATGGGAATCACATATGGGACTTGAGCATGGGGTGGACACAAACAAAATAAAAAACCCATATATTTAAGGAAAGGCGCTCTTATCATGATGGGGTTTGCCTGACTTTAAATTTGCCATATTTGAGACAGTGATAAGGATCTAAATGAAGTTTCAGTCAGAGGATTTAAAGAGCAAAAGCAGAAGAAAGAACAGAAGCAGGAGAATTAATTGCTTGACCACCTAGAGAATGATGATGTGATTATGGAAGCAATTGTTTGACTGATTTTTATTCATTTTTTCCTGTGAAATTCAAAGAAAATGCTGACAGCATCATAATATGACAGTCCAAATCCAAGCACTTCAGCAAGTGGGGATTTATTTATTTTTTTCTTCTTATCAAGGTTGAAAGATCTTCTAAGCACACATGAAAGAAACAGCAGGGCCAAGACTACTTTGAACTTACTGCATACGATTCCTTTCATATAAGATGTGCTTGACAAACATTAATTAAGTCTCCCAGCACCTCTTTGAAGTAATGTAGGAAATATGTAGAGGTGGGTAAACTGAGGCCCCAGGAACTAGAAGGAGAGCCTGAGGACATACCAGGGCAGGTGCAGCATTTGAAAAGACCCTCACAGGAGGCCCCTCTTTCTCTGATGAGGCCAGATGTAGGTGCTTGTTTCCAAGCAGAGGTCTTCCAACAAGTTCTCTCAACCAGGCAGGGGTGAGGCAGACTAGTTATTTGCTCCAATGGCCATACTCTCTGACCTAAAACTTTGGAGAACTAAAGGCTCCTCAGACCTGGCAGCCTTGAGCCTCATAGCACACCCTATCTACCTATAATCCAGATCCACCATCTCCTTCCTGAAATTGACAGCTGTGTTGCATCTCTCCTAATGCTTGTTTTGTCCTTATAACTGGCTGAGACCACTTGATTCAATGGCTAAAAGAAGTACCCTGAGTCACTTTGGTGCCTGAGTTTCTGCTTTTTTTTTTTTTTTTTTTTGCTTTTTCATTTTTGGAGATTAGCCTCACTGGTTTAGCATGAAAGATGTTTATTACGGGCAAATGGAGAAGTTGAGTTGTGATACAGGCCCCTTGGCAGCTTTGGCCAAACTCACAGGGGGCTCTAAAGCTGAAATAGCCCTTCAAAATTGTCCCGAGTTGGTTACTTCCATGTTGATTAATCACTGGATGTGGCTCTTCTGGGAAGGGCAGAGGCTGAATCAATTCCTGAAAAAGGTGAATGGCTAAAGACTGTGCCCAGGCCACATTAGGAAACACATCTTCTGCTTGCTAAACTAGGTGCATCCAAAAAGACGGACCTTGATCAGTTTTATTGGCTACCCAAATATCAATTCATTCTACACATTCAACTGGTCTTCTAACCTATATATATATATATATATGTGATGCTGGAAATGATATTAAACACTAAAGCAATAAAATACGAAGTCTCTGCAGTCAGGAAACTTAGTCTGGTGAGAGAGATACTAAATAAATAGATAAACCTAGAAACATAATTAGTTCAGAAACGGCTAAATGCTTTAGGCAATAAAAGAATCAGAGAGGAAATACAAAATAAACATACACATGTGTTACTGAAGAGAAAAATATGGAAAACACTATCATTTAGTGTTATTCTCATCTAGAGAAATAAAAAGTCTTTGATGATCCAACAAGGTATGCAGATCACTAGTAATTTAGAAGGTTAGAAAACTAAGAGTTATGATTGAAACTTACGGTAAATAAGTGAAAACATTTTTATATTGCATTTTTTTGGCAAAAAGAACAAAATAATTAAAATAATTAGAGAAAAATAACATTTTTAGAAAGGAAGATTTAGAATTAGTAAATCATAAACAAGTATTTGGTAAACAGATCTGTAACGACAAATGAATATTTTTGTTATCTACTGACTCTTTTTATTTCTAATGTATTCTTCTAAATCCACTGTCCTTTTTTTTCTTAGCAAAAGTTTTTTTGGCAATATTTCTTAAAGAAATCTTTGACTATAAACATGTTCAGTTGCTTTACCAAAAGTAATAATTTCTTGCAATTCCTGTTCCTGTTAAAATTTCTAAGGAAGCCATTCAAAGATGAGTGACATCTAGATATTTTGTTCATTAGTTCGCTTAACCATTGATTTTCTATTTTATTTACTACATTTTCCTTTTTCTCTATGATTTAGCTCTCCAAAACATTTGGTCGGTTTATATGAAAGGGGCTATATCATAAACGCTTTTAAGGTCTATATGATTTATACATACAGCTCTCATGATTCATTTCTCAAATAGCCATGTTTGTGGATTTTTTTTAATTAAATTCTTGATTTATGTGAAATAGATAAATACACGGATCATTCAGAACAAGGGTGTCTGTGTCTGGGGGTGGGGAGGGGAAGGACGGGAGGGATTTGGATGCATGAATAACTCCCTATTGGTCCTAATGGGATTTGCACAAGGAAGACTCCTGTATTCCAAGATACAATCTTCCTTCATTCTGACATGTGGTTAGCTATATGTTATTGATATCATAACTTTAATTTCCGAGCCATGTTAAATCGATACATGTTTTAGATGTCCCCCTTAAGGAATGAAACATAAAAGAATATGCCTTTTTTCTTCTACCTCTCCCCATGTTGTATTTGGCAAATTACTTTGACATTCTAAAATATCTTATCTACTTCTGACTTTAAATCGCTTAGGGCTGCATGCTGGTCTTTCCCCGTGTTGTAAACAATCCCCTATGTTTAATCAGAATTTACCATCATCATAGCAGAAAATAAAACCAAGAATGTGTCTTACAATGGGAGCATTTTATAAAAGACGATACTTAAACAGCGTTTCCTGTAATAGCAATAAAACATTTTCAAGCTCACTCTCAGCTGAGGAAGGGAACTTTTACCCTGCCCAGAACTAGAGTTGTGTGAGAAAGTGTATGTGTGCATGTTTCAAATAACCAAACTAATAAGTCTTATTTCTCTCCTTATTATAATCAGGGGAACAACCATTCTAATAAAATTGTGTTCAACAGTTCCTCTATAAACTCACTCCCTCATCCTAGCTCCACCTGGTATAATATAAAATCTAATATACTTTGGAGGCATTTTTAATAAAACTTTTTCAGATGACTCTATGTGGCAACACAATTCATTTATAGTTTCCTATTAGTTCACCTTTATAGAGGTTTTAGTCTTTTCTATCTCATGGGGTAAGTCACTTTTTTTCACAGCCAACATGTAGTTCTATTGATCTAATCTTTTTTAAAAGTTTTGAATGTAAGAACAAGGTTGGGATAGGAGGAGAAATTAGCTGACTCGTACCACTGTGATGTTAAGGTTGATATTTTATGTGGATTTTACATTACACCGACATCTTTTATTATAAGGCTATCTATTAACTATGCTATTTATGAAGGTAGGGAAAATGGAAGGAGATACTTCATGATTTATTTTTATTAAAATAGCTTCAAGATCATTCTGTATTATTCTCAGGGTCAAAATAGTGTTATTCATTCAAAGTGACTTCTTATGAAGGTAATATGATTCAAGGATGGTGATAATTTGGAATGACTTCATGGCAAAAAGACGTAGTGAAGCCTCCTGTGAGCATGGGAGAAGGGAGTATTCAAATGAAGAAGGGTCACTTTTAATCAATGGCTGAAATCTGGCTGCCAGCATTTTGAAGTCCACACCTGTATTTGCATGGAGGTACCACTGGATTGTTGGACTATGGTGGTGCTTAGTATCCTGTTCTTAACATTCTTCTCCTTGGGCCTGTGACCTTATAGATGATAGTCAGCAAAGTGCAAAGTTGAGAAGCAACTCACTGCATATTGAAGAATCCCCCAAAATCTATGGAATTAAAGCATCAGATACCTCTGCAAGACTGGTTATGCAGTTTGTGAGGCTCAGTGCAAAATAAAAGAGCAGCCCTTTTATTTTGAAATAATTAAGAATTTAAAGATGGTGGCAGTACAGTATTAAACCAAGTATGGGGACCTTCTAAGTGCAGAACCTTATGTGACTGTTCAGGTTGCACACCCATGAAGCTTGCCTGCCTTCAGACACCTCTGGATGTGAAGGCTAAAGTAAAGCTAAAAACGAAATTCTACTTAAGTAGTGAGACATCAGATTGCCATTTCTGCTCTACACAGATGGGCTGGGGTCTCCTACCAGCAGAAGGCTGAAGTTGAGCATTCAGAGTATGGCCTTGGATATTCTACTATTTGCTGCATATAAATTCATTTCTCTAAGCCCAAGGGTCCTTGTTTCTAAAATAATAGTTTAAAGCAGATCTTCCAGATGCTTGAAAACTGAACTTAGTATTCTCTTTTTTTTTTTTTTTTTTTAAGAAGGAGTCTCACTCTGTAGCCCAGGTTGGAGTGCAGTGGCTCGATCTCGGCTCACTGCAAGCTCCGCCTCCCGGGTTCACGCCATTCTCCTGCCTCAGCCTCCCAGGTAGCTGGGACTACAGATGCCTGCCACCACACCTGGCTAATTTTTTGTATTTTAGTAGAGACAGGGTTTCACCATGTTAACCAGGATGGTCTCAATCTCCTGGCCTCATGATCTGCCCGCCTCGGACTCCCAAAGTGCTGGGATTACAGGCATGAGCCACCGCACCTGACCTTACTATTCTTAAAAATGTTCAAAAGCAAGACAAAAACTTTCAAAAGCAACCCTTGGGGGGTTTGAGGTGGCTTCCTGAAAAAGTTGGGGTATAAAGAGGCATAAGTGATCAATATTTTTCTCTAGTGATGGCTATGATTTCTCTCAAAATGTAGCAGTGTATTGAAGTAGAACATGGAAGTTATGAAAACTCTGAGATGAGGCAGATCTGAAATGAACCCATGCTCTGTCCATTACAAGCTGTGTCACAAAACTTCTTGTACAATGTGGTCAGTAATAGTACTTACATTAACGAGTTGTTGATATATAAGATAATACATGAATGGTACTTCTTTGGATGCCTGGCACATAGTAAGCATTCAGTAAATGGATGTGGATGAAGGCGAAGAAGGAGAAGAGGAGGAGGAGGAAGAGAAGGAAGAATATGATAATGGTAGTGGTGGTGGTGAAAATGGAAGCCATGGTTATTAAGAAAGTGGGAGCTGAACTGGAACCAGTCTGTGCTAGAATCTTCTTATCATCACTACTTGTAAGACCCTGGACAAGTAACAACCTCTTGGTGGGTTCCTGTATCGGTAAACTATCACTGAGTAACAAACCACCTCAAAACTCAGTGACTTAAAATGACTAGTATTTATTCTTGTTCATGTGACTACACAAGAGGCAGCTAGTCAGCTGGGAACCTAGGCTTCAAGTTGCCGATCTAGCTGGCCTGGGTTCTAGGCTGGCAGCTGGGCTCAGGTCTACTTTCCATGTCTGCTATCCCCATTGGATCTGCAGTCTGACTGGAGTGTATTCTCATGGCAATGGTGGAAGCACTAGAGGAAAAACTCCCTGTGCAAATCCATGTCAAGGTTTGTCTGACATATGGCTATGAATATCCCATTGACCAAAGCAACTCACACAGCTGAGACTCAAGACAATGAACAGGGAAGCATGCATTACATCTACTGGGAAGAACCCCTATGGCCAAGGGGTGGATACAGACAAGGAAAAGAACTGGGGCAATGAGTTTCTTTACATGGAATATGGTGCTAACAAAGTGACTTCACTCATAGACCTGTTTTGAGCATTAAATAAGATAATCCATGTAAAGCATTTAGCACAGTGTAGGCACATAATTGGCACTTAATAAATGTCAGCTATGTTAGTAATGAAGATTCTCATCATTCTATGACCCTAATGTAATGAAAGATTTTACACAAGAAAGGCATGTGTAGTCAGGGGAAGTTGGAAAATGTTGGAATAAGTTTAGTGGTGAAATTTTAGCCAGGCCTTAGAAAAAACGGGCAGAATTTTCATGAAAAGAAGGAGGGAGAGGGTGTCACTGAATGACAAAGAACAAAAACAAAAAGCCTAGAGGCAAAATAACATGGATCCAAAACACGGATTGTGTTTGGAGTTTTAGGTGAATTAACCACCCTTTATTTCCATCACTTTTCTTTTAAAATCCTTGAGGTGAATTGTCATTCCCAATCCTGCTGTTTGTTTGGAAAGAGAACAGAGAGTACACTTATAATAAACCAGCTGTAAACCTGTGTTCTCAGCTTGGAACTTCCTCCAGCACTTCCCCTCCCTGGGCAGGTGCTGCTTCCCAGGGGTCTCCTTCCATCCTGAATGGAAAGCTTGTCTGCAGTAATCCAAGGGTGCCAGGAATTAGGAAAGACGCCTTGAGGGCTCGATCCTGCCTTATAGCCATGAAGAATGGCTATTGCTTATGTGCAAGACTCCAGGAAGAGCCCTGAGTCTCCATGAATTCTTTTGTTCTCCCTGAGCAGCAGGGATTTGAAGCAGAGGACCCTGTTAGCAATGAATATTGTGAGCGCTTCTGTCCAAGCCTCCTGTATATGCCACACTCAACTTTCCCGGCCCTGCCCTTGTGGCAGCCTGCTGCCTTGCTCGCACCCTGGTGTGCTGATTAACCAACAGGGGCAGAGAGCCTGCTGCTGACACAGCCCAAGTTGTCCAGGCCTGTTAGCATCCCCCTCAATAGACACAGCCTGAAAAAAGGTGAGGGGCTTTCCTCCCCTCCTAGGAAACATATGTGTACTCTGAGGGTGTGCTTTTGAAGACAAACCTTTAGAGAAATCATACATAGAATAAAGTCAAGCTTGGAATTCTTCCAGCTTTAACATCATCCTACGTCTCCCTTTTCATCTCACCTCACCCTACCCAAGGAAGCATGGTTTGAAACCTCTTCAAATGCTTTCGGCTTTCAACTCTAGCCTTCAAATGGATTTTGACAAATTATTGTTCAAAACCATTTTATCTGGTTATTCCTGTCTGTATCGATGCTTTTCAGAGTGGTTGTGTCCTTACACACATTAAGGGATGCAAGTTAAAGGAGATGGTGATGGCTGTCCAGTTATTTAACAAATATTCAGTGTTGAAGATGTTGTAGTGTGTCCCTCAGATCTCCCCTTTAGGACTGAGGCACTCTTTCCCCTAGTGGCTGGGACTGTTGGCAGCTAACACCTCTCAGCCTTGTATCTCTCTGATCACTGTTCTCAGGTAGAGAGAACGCTCATCTCCAAAATTATGCTCTTTTCTTGGGAACAGTCTTCTCCAGACTGGTAGGTAAAAGGGAAAACACCATGCCTCGAAGTGGGACAACTTAAAAGGGCTGTCCCAACTTCAGAGCTGTCTTGGGGTTAGTTGAGGCTTTTGTTGTAACCCAGTCCTCTTCTTAGTCCTATTATCCTCATTCAACCATGTGTATTGATCCTGGGAACACTTTGCAGTAACTTCTTTTTTTTTGAGATGGAGTCTTACTCTGTCGTCAGGCTGGAGTGCTGTGGCGCAATCTCGGCTCACTGCAACCTCCAGCTCCCAGGTTCAAGTGATTCTCCTTCCTCAGCCGACCGAGTAGATGGGATTACAGGGACACGCCACCAGGCCCAGCTACATTTTGTATTTTTAGTAGAGACGGGGTTTCACCATGTTAGCTAGGATGGTCTCAATCTCTTGACCTCATGATCTGCCCGTCTTGGCCTCCCAAAGTGCTGGGATTACAGACGTGAGCCACTGCGCCTGGCCTGCAGGAACTTCTTTACACAGATATCTGCCTTAAAGTCATTTTCCTTAGAACTCTGATCTAGGACATCGGCTGTGGGCCAGGCATGGCTCTCGGCACTTTTCATACCTTAGCCCACTTAATACTCACAACTGCCATCCTTAAGAATTAAGGAAACCAAGGTCGGGGCAGGCTAACTAACTTGCCCGAGCTTCCTCTTAGTAAGTGGCAAAAATGTCTGCCTTTCTCCAAATTCCATAATCTGTATGCTGCCTCACCATTTTAAAAACAGCAAAGGCAGCTTAAGGCATGCAAAAATGTGGACCATTTGTTGAACAAATGAATGAATAAATGAGATGTCAAAGCAAACAGGAAGGTGGTCAAATGTACAGTAAAATGATCTTTCTGTAGGAATGTCAGGGATGAGTACCAGGGAATCTACACTGGGATTCAGCTGTGTATGAGTGTGTCTGATGCACGGATAGATCTGCGGCCATGGGTAAAATCAAAACCCCATAAGAGAGCTGCACACTAGATTCATCAAAGTGAGGGTGGAAGGAGGAAGAGCTACCACACTTAAATGGAGGTATTTGAGAAAGGAACTATTTACAAGAGTGTAGACAGATCTAAAAGAAACTTACAAGGGACGGTGAAGCTTTCTGTGTCTGACAACAGCAGGCAGCCATTATCACCTGTAAGACTGAATAGACTTTTTGGAAAATATTTTAATACTTGTGCCAATATAATTCATATCCTTTGTAATCTAATGTATTTTATTTTGTGCATTTAAAGCTATTTGGAAAAGGGATACAGGGCTTCACCAGATTGCCAAAGGGTTTCATAGCACCAAAAAAGTGAAAAACTCCCATAGAGGGCACTGGGAACACTGCATCTACCTTCAAGAGGCTTTCTTCAAAAAGTGGAGAAGACAGAATGGTGCAGAGGGCGCACTGGGACACAAAGCATGGCAGGATAAACCTGCCTGAAGGATGGAAAAAGATTGCATAGAGGAAATAATACTTAAACTGAGTTTTAGAAGACAGGTGCATGTCCACCAGGTGGGCAAAAGAGTGGAGTAAATGCAAGAGGCTGCTAGAGAGGGAGGAACATGGAAAAGGAGAGGTCTCTGCAGAGAAAGCAAGTTACCCAAACACGCAGGAGCAACAAGATAGAGAGGTGACAGCAGGTACAGAAAGAGTTGAGAAGAAGCCAAGAAAAAGCTGAGGTATTTCCGTGAACTTGGAGAACTGTTAAAGGACTCCATCCCAGGAAGGACACGATCACATCTATATCAACTGTAGAATCATCACATGGTCTACTGTGTAGAGAATGAAAGAAGAATGCAAGGGTGGGAGATAAGGAAACACATTAGGACCCTGTTGCCAGAATCAAGGCTCAGTGTCACGAGAGCCTGAAGTAAGGTGGTGCCTGAGACCAGCATGTGTGGCCCACTTGGAAGCCACTGAATAATGCACCAGAACACACCAAAGGCTTTCTGCGACTCTCTTCCAAAGGCGTTTTCTGGCAGAAGGAGGATGCTTGGCCTGTGTATAGACCCTCAAGGCACTAAGGGAGATAATGTCCCAGGAGCAACCCTCAATTAATGAGGGATGGGAGTAGGTGGATAAATACTCCAGCTTCCTCACCCCCTAGGCCAACTCTGCTGAGGCATGTTCAGTGCTGTTTCTTAGAGGACACCAGTGAGGGTGAGCTTCGCTTGCCCACAGTAGTAACTTGATGTCTTCCTTTCTCCATATCGTTTCTCCACATTCTCACAGTTTTTCCTGGAATCACCTCCCAAATAAACCACTTGAACTCAAACCTGATTTCAGGGTCTGATCTGGGGGAAATCCAGACTACAACAGGCAGTTTTAGTGGGTCTGGAGAGATGAGAATGTAGGGGAAAAAGCTGTGAGAGAAGTGGAATTACAGGACCTGGTCGTTTATCAATTGCAGAAGTGCAGGAATAGGTGGTATCAAGCATGATGTCAGTTTTTCTTTCTGCTTGTGTGATTGGTAGAAAGATCTGCAATTCTCTGAGCTGGAGATGACAGGAGGGAGAGCAAACTGTGGTGGGACGGCATAATGAATTACGTATGGGCACCATGAGTGAACTACCCCTACGACTCTGGACGGAGATGTCCAACAGGCAGTTGGAAGTTCAGAGGTAGACACTCATGGAGTGAGTTGGGCTGGGGGGCTTTACTTGGAGGCATCTAGGATTTTGATGAGATTTTTCCAGAGAAAGTCTAGGGAACTTAAACTTAGACCTTTTGAACAGGACAACTGTGGAAGGTGCTGTCTTTCAAGTTGGCTTATTTCCTGCCTAATTCTGACTCTGCCACCTGCCCCTTACACCCTAGTTGCCCTGAACTCAGTCGAAAGAATTTTCCCGTCTAAAACTTCTTCTGGCAATAGAAAGTCACGACTTTTTGGTTTTTCTGGGATATTATTGACTGTGATTGTGTTGACAAGAGTATGTGCCTTTCTCTTCCTTGTTTTGGTTTCTACAAAAGCAAGTATTATTTGTAGAGTGGACATATTATTTATCATCCAAATCAGGATACTTTTGAGAGTAAAAGAGAGCACTAGTTATAATTATAGTTATAATTATACCACAGTATTAAGCATCAATTGAAACTATCTTAAGCAAATCAAGACATGGTTATGCTGATTATCTAATTAAAAATGTAGACCACCTCGAATCTTTCTACAAGTATGTGGATGTAAAAATAACACACAGGGTGAAAGAGAAAGACAGAGAGAAAGAGAGAAAAAAAAGGGAGGGAGAGAGGGAAACAGGAAGATTAAGGATAAATCAAAGATCCATTTTGAGAGTCCTTTGTGGCACTTTACCTAAAACAGTTTTTTCCTCCCCTTTCTCTGCCTCTTTCTTATGAGTGCATATAGGGTTATTTAGCTTTTTATCTCCAGCCTATAACCCAGTGCCTCATATACACTAGAGAGTCAGTAAATAATTTTTAAATACATGAATGAGCAAGTTTCTCTATTAAAATTCTCCTAAAAATTCCATTTCCAAACTACTCTGGCCAATATGAAATTTTTCCTCCACTCAAATCCTATGTCATCTCTAGTTTTAATTGCATAATTAAATATTTAATGAAATGCTTTTCTATTTTGTTGATTAATTTAGGCATGGGGATTCTATCTCTATTATATTGGTTCTATTAAAATGTACTCCTGGCCAGGCATGGTGGCTCATGCTTGTAATCCCAGCACTCTGGGGGGTCGAGGCAAGCAGGTCATGAGGTCAGGAGTTCAACACCAGCCTGACCAACATGGTGAAACTCCATCTCTACTAAAAATACAAAAATTAGCCGGGTGTGGTGGCACGTGCCTGTAATCCCAGCTACTCAGGAGGCTGAGGCAGGGGAATCGCTTGAACCCAGGAGGCAGAGGTTGCAGTGAGCCGAGATCGCGTCACTGCACTCCAGCCTGGGTGACAGAGCGAGACTCCATGTCAAAATAAATAAATAAATAAAAGTCCTCCTTTGGTATTTTCTTCTGTAAATGGGGATGAGTATAGTGCCCATCTCATAAATTTCTTAAGCTTATTGTGAGGATTAAGTCAGCTAATAAATATGAAGAGCCTGGCCAATAATAAGTGCCTATTTTATGTTAGTTATTGTTATTTTTATTATCTCTTCCAGGGAAGAGATGGGGCCATTGCACTTACTAATATTTGAACAAAAAATAGTGACTTCATTATTTAATGACTTAAAAGCATGTTAACCCAAATATGGTAAAATGGTCATGTCTGGTAGACTCATGAATGACATTCAATGTGCAGTGATACCAGATTTAAAAATTATTTTTCCCTGAAGCACTCTAATTTCAATATTTGAAACTATGTTTGTGGGGTATTCAGTTTTCTTTACTCCTTCATATGAGAGCGTATTGGCTATAGTGAAGTGGGTGGGGAAAAATGCCTGGAATTTAAATTTGAAAACCATAGTTTAACAGATTTTCATGGGTTTTCTGAAAGATGACCTTCATTCACTGCTGTTATTAATATTCTTTTTTTGGATTTTATAATATAAAAGTTAAAATGTGGGCCGGGTGCGGTGGCTCATGCCTGTAATCCTAGCACTTTGGGAGGCCAAGGCAGGTGGATCACTTGAAGTCAGGAGTTCAAGACCAGCTTGGCCAACATGGTGAAACCCCGTCGCTCCTGAAAAATAATAAAATAAAATAAAATAAGCTGGGCATGGTGGCACATGCCTGTAATCCCAGCTGCTCTTGAGGCTGAAGCAGAGAATTGCTTACATCTGGGAGGCAGAGGTTGCAGTGAGCCAAGATCATGCCACTGCACTCCAGCCTGGGTGACAGAGTGAGACTTCATCTCAAAAAAAAAAAAAAAAATGTTAAATTGTGCTAGCAGGTAGCATTGGCAAAACTTCTAATTTATCCAGAAATATGAAGCTTGGCAGATCTTAGGCAAGTGTGTCAAAAGGGTACCTAGAGTAGATTTGACTTCCCTGCTTAAGGAAGACTTCATCCCCTCATGTCAGAGTTTATACTTGAAGACCTTGCATTGCTTGGTCCTTAGTTGAAAGTTCCCCAATCCAACTTTCAGCCCTTTCCCTTTGGAACACATTCAGTAACACACTGGTCCCCGGCCCCAGTCCTCTCATCTGTAATGGAGGCAAGTGCCATGTTATAGCTTCTTTATGACTCTTGTCATCTTCTTTATTCCATCCTGACTTTCTGACCTGAAATGTTGGCAGTATTTGAAGATCTGGAACATAAGTTTTGCTTCACTTAAACCTGGTTTCTCATTGACTCAGGGTTCTCTTAGACTAGCACTGTTCAATGGAACTATTCTACAAGGATGGAAATGTTTTATGTCTACCTTGTCCAAGATGTTAGCCCCTAGGCACATGTAGTTACTGGAATGTGGTTAGTGTAACTGAATAACTGAATTTTCAATTTTATTTTAATTTAATTAATTTAAATAGCCATAGATAGCTAGTCCTATCATCTCGGACAGTGAACTACCTTTTCCTTCACAGATTTTATCTAAGTTACAGTTCCTGAGGAAAATAAAAATAAGCAAATATGCTATTTATTTATGATGACAATCACTGTTTAAACCACATGCCTCAATAGCCACCAAGACATTTAATGAAATTGTGACATACACTAGAATGTTGACTTAAATCAAAGTCTTCCCTTGACTTTGATAATGCTGTCAACCTCTTGCTTTTAGTTTCACTCCTTTCATCTCTTTAGGTACATACTGCCAAGTCTTAATGTTGGAGATCCTCAGAAATAAGTCAAAGACCATTTCCCTTTCTAGCTCAGTATTCTGTTTCCAGTTTACCGCAATCATGCCTATAGCTTCAGTAATCTCTACATCAATCACTTCCAAAGTTGTATCTTTAATACACACTTCTCTTTCAGGCTTTCTCAAATATAGCATGCTCAGAACTGAATGTGTGACCCCCTCACAATCTTGTTCTTTACATCACTGAATAACACCAATCTAGATGGTCAAGCCAGAAAGCTAAGAACCATCCTTGACATCTCTATCTCCTTCCATTAATTCCCATGTCAAAGTCATCTCCAACTCCAGTTGTTTTCACTTGGAAAATAGCTTTCATATCCATTCACCTCACTTAATCTCCACTGTTGCCACTATGATCTAAGTTACCATCGTCTCTTACCTGGATCTCCTGCTGGAAGTTTCTATGTGTCCATAGTCACACAGACCTATATGAACAGAGTTTTGTCACGTGTCATGCTCCCTCAAGTCTCAGAGCCTTTATAATGTCTCTAGAATTAAGGTTGCCCAAAATAAACTTCAAATTCACAACCCTCCCCTCCTCCTCTCTGCCCTGTCCCGCTCAACACCTGGTTCCTGGTTCATCTTGAAGTTTTATTCAGATCCTAAATCAGATGTCACTTCCTTAAGGTTAGTTTTCTTGATTCCCCAGATCATATCTGGACTCTGTTACACATTTTCCTATCACCTTGTACTTCCCCTTCTGAGCACTTATCATGATTATAATTAATTATCTTTAATATTGTCTCTGCTGTTAAAAAGATAACTTCCATGAAGGCAAGGATCTGTTTGTCTTATTCATCACTTGATTCTTGGTGCTTGAGTAAGTACATGCACATAGTAAGTGCTCAATAAATTGATTCCTTAGGTACTTAATGTGAAGTTAATTGTATATTCTTACTGCCTAAGGTTAGTAAGCTGGACTGTCACTTTATATGTAGGTTAGGAAATTGACAGGAAAATGAATTTGGTAACTGTTATTCACATTTAATCTCAATCCTCAAAACTGAGTTTCTCTGTGAATAAAACAATAAGTTACTGGAAATGTGGAGTTTTCAAAACAAACTCTTGATGTAAACTTTTATACTTCTGTTATTGCAGGTGCAAACTTTCCAGCTGTTCTGTGATATTTTAAATGTGTTTCAAATTATTCATTTACTATTTTGAGTAGTTCATCTTGGATATAAATATATTTTAAAATTAGTTAACTTATTGATACTACTCTAATTATTATTTTTTAGAACAATGTTCTTCCAAGAGACCTTGTCAGAGACTCACCAATGCCATTAATTGACCATGGTTACTGAATTCCAAAGAGTCATCAATCCTTCAGGAATAATCTTTGGGATCAGTTGTCATTATTTATCTAGCATGACACCATCTACGAGCTATGTTATTCAAAAGTGGAACCTTTTCTATTTCCTGTGTCATTGTTTCCAAACACAAATTTGACAATTTCCATGCAGGAAGGGAACATGAGTGCTTCTGGACTTGTACATGAATTTTTTGTCTTTACCTATTAATTGCTCAACCGACCTTGTAACTAGCTTCCTCCCTTTGATCTGACACTTTCTTATTTCATGCTTGCAGATGTTTTTAAGTGTTCTAATATTCCCCCCCTGGGGAAACTGGATGTTTTGTGGTAGTTGATGACATAGTTTGCTAGGCCACTATGGCTTTATTTCATAACTTTTTCTAGAAAGTAAACCATTTAGGTTGAGGACGACAAAAATTGTGGAGTTATACTAATCTAAATGTGAGATACTCTTCATTGACTTTCCTGGTTGACAAGTTCTATCTATCTAGCTATCTAGCTATCTCTTTTTAAAAAATTGAAGCCATTTACATACGAATTACTTAAAGGAACTGGAGGCTTTTAAAGATTCAGAAAATCAATTTAAAAAATATGAATGTCCACGTTTTTGAGAATATTCAAAGCAAGTCACAATATCATTTAAAAATTAGCCATGTAGTAAATATCAAATAAATTATTAATGTATATTAATTTTATTGTATTTAGTAATTAAAATGGTGAAAAATCATGAAATATTTATACTCCTCTATGATCAATAACTATTTATACAAATCTTTTTTTAGGCCATAGAAAACTTTGGTTTTCTTTAATTAATGAGTTATTTCAACTAAACATTCAACCTTTGTTTCTAGAAGCACACCTTTTTTTCATTTCCTAAGGCAAATTGTAGTTTATTGTAATTCTATTAATCATCAGACTTCGTTACTATTAAGCAACAACTGAGGAATTAAATAAAATAAAACTTTTGAAATGAGGAACAACCGTTTCCAGGTGATTACAACAATAGTAATAATAACAACCATTCATATATTCTGTTAGCAGAATGAAAAAATGTAAATATAAGACCAAACTTCATTTAAAGCAAAGGTCTAGGTTTCATATGTGCATGAGAAATGGAAATTCAATTGCTAACCCAAATCTGAACTAAAGTCATAATCAAACTAACTGAACTGTTCCAGTGTGTATGGGGGAGGGGACACTGGATGGTTTGCCTACTTTGGAGGAGGGTGTTAGTTATTAAAGCCATACACTTCAACAGAATAATTACTAAATTCAAGAGATTGATTGAAGGGGCCATTCAGATTATATACCATATGCTATTCTAAATTTTTGAATGGCTATTAAAAAAAAAGAAAAAACACGGGTTCAGATTTTTTTTCCCTATTAAAATGCACCCTGATGAATGTCTCTGGGAACACACACATTGTCCTCATTCAGGCATACCTGTGTTCTATGGTATACTTGTCTTGAAGGCATGTTATTTAGTATGGGGATAGAGAATTTAGTTCTCTGCCTCAGGTGCAATCCTGGCCTGTCCCTTTATTACCTCGGGCATATCACTTAACCTCTCTGAAGTTTAGCTTCCTCCTCTTGTAAACCGTAGGAATAATTACACCTAATTCTTCACATACCTGTGTGGATTAAACAAGATAATTCATGAAATTACACCATGAGTGTTCACTAAGTACTAATTTTTGTTAGTTCTATTATTCACCCCATGGACTTTGAATGAGTTCTCTTGGTTGGGCTTCAAGGCCTTTACATTTATTGTTGCAATATTATCATCAGAAAAGGGTGTAGTATTAGCTTCCCTATGACCGCATTTGGTAGTGTGAGTCCTGGTGTCAGTGTATTTGGGTTTCTAAGAAGACTAGACATCAGGACCAGATTGGCTGCTTCTGCCAAAAGAAACAAACCACTTCAATTTCATTAGCACAGCCCTGCAAATAGCTTTTCAAGTAGTCAGGGAAGTAAAAGTTCTATTGAGCTTGGGGCTATTTTGCATTATCTCCAAGGGACACTTTCTCCCTGGAGAGGCCACCTGCATCTTATAATTTAAGAGGGTCTCTCTGCTAAGTCCTGGAGTTTCCACACAGCTGCTGAAGACAGACACACATTCCTAGCATTTGGCATCACAAAGGGAGCTCAAAGACCAGGCGGGAATCTTGCTGTCATTTTGTCAATTCCTTGTCTGTTTTTCCCCAGGCTTCCCCAAAATTTCCATTAATCTTGGAGCCAAGAAATACAACACAATCAGCTTATGCAGTAGTCTTTGAAAAACTTAAACTTTTTATTTAGAGGTAATTGTAGGTTCACTTGCAGTTAGAAGAAATAATATAGAGAAATCCCATGCACTAAGCATCCTTTACCAAGTTTCCCCTTATGGGGAAGTTAAGATACAAAACAATCTCATCACCACAAAAATTCCTCTTGTTTAGCTTTTATACCATATCTCCCTCCCATTTCACCCTCTCCCCCATCTCCAATCCCTGGCAAGCAAGCACTAATCGCTTCCATTTCTATAATTTTGTCATTTTGAAAATATAATATAAATTACATCATACAATGTATAACCTTTTGGCATTATCTTTTTTGATTCAGCATAATGCTCTGGAGATTCATCCCAGATGTGGGTGCATCAATAGTTTGTTCCTTTTCACTGCTAAGTAGTGTTCCATGATATAGATGAAGGACATCTGGATTGTTTGCAATTTTAGGATAATATGAATAAATCTGTTATGAATAGTTATGTGCAGGTTTTTATGTGAACCTAGGTTTCTGCTTCTCTGTAATAAATGCCAAGAGTGCGATTGCTCGGTGGTATTGTAATTACATGTTTAGTTTTATGAGAAACTGCCAAGCTGTTTTCCAGGGTGACTGTACCATGTACATTCCACCAGCAATCTATGAGGAATGTAGTCTATCTGCATCCTCTCCAGTATTTGTTGTTGTTACTATTTTTAATTTTAGGTATTCTGACAGGTGTGTAGCAATACCTCATTGTGGCTTTACTTGGCATTTCCTCAATGGCTAATAATGCTGAACACCCTTCTCAGCAGTCTTTTGCAGATGGTATACTTTAAGAGCTAGTATGCCGTCTGAAAGGGGTATCCACTTTGGTAATTGAGACCAAAATTAATTTGTCTGGATGCGAATCAGGTCTGAAAAAGAGAGAGAGTGTGTGAGCTGTAGTATGCTTCATCTTGAACTCAGGTTTCCTGAATCCAAGCCAAGTGAGCTTAACCAGACCCTACCACTAGTATACATCAGAGATGATTTACTTGCTCTGAATTGGGTGGTAAAATAGAGCAGTTTGATGGCCAGTTAAGAATATATGAGTAATATAGTGATTCTCTGTGTAATATCTAGCAATTTAGTGTCTACTGGGAAATCAATAAATAATTGAATTTTTATACATACATTTTATATATATGTAAATTTACATACATATATGTAAATATCTGCATATAGGTGTATCTATGTCTCTCTAGCTATCTATTTATCTAGAGAGGAGATGTATTCTTCCAAAAAACTTACATCTTTTTTTTTCTAAAGTAGGCACATTAGAAGTTTTGTTTCACCATTTACAGCAGGGAATATATTAAGAACATAGTGTTCTTATTATCTCAAGTTAATCTCCAATGTTGGTAGACATCCCTTAATCAACTATCAATGGGGACAATGCTACATCATCCTATTTGGAGAAGCCTCAAATAGGATACATCGGGAAGAACAAAACATCACTGCTATTGTATTTCTGCCCAAAATTCACAAACAAAATCTAATGATAAACAATCAGACCTACATAAATAAAGGGAAATTTCATAGAATAACAGGTCTGTACTCTCGAAAAAAAATCAAGGTCTTGAAAGTCAAAAGAAGAGCTTCAAGATTAAAGAGAGCTAAAGAGCCTTTGCTCAGAATAAAGACTACTGCAGAGATGATGAACAGTATGTGTGACTGAGACATCCAAATCCTCAGAGAGGCTGCATTGCATTATTGAGAAAGTTGATGAAATCAAAATATGGCCTATGAATTAATTACATTTAAGTTTCCTTGTTTTCATCATTGTATTGTTTTAATGATCTTTGTATGCCTTATGTATGGGCACAAAGTCCTTGTTGCTAGGAAATAAACACTGAATTATTCAGAACATAATGCCTGCAACTTACTCTCAAAAGGTTCAAGCACTACAAAAGTGTGTGTGTGTGTGTGTGTGTGTGTGTGTGTTTGGAAAGACAGGAAATAATAAAGGAAATCAAGTAAAATGTAAACTATTTGTGCATCTGGATTAAGAATGTGTGGAAGTTTTTTGTACTATTCTTATAACTTTTCTCTAAATTTGAATTTATATTAACTAAAATCCCCTCCACCCCCAACAAAAGAAAGGAAACCCATGCCTGTTCAATGTATTCTGTAGTTCTCATTAAGTATTAATAGGGTCAGTAATGAAGGTCCTGGTGGAAGAAGGAGTTCACCCTCTTAATATGCAGATGAGGAGACAGAAGCTCCCAGAAGTGGAATACCCTCTCAGGTGCTTCCCAGGAGGGTGATGGAGGAGCTGGGACTGAAGGTGCCTTCTGATGCTTTCCAGTGGCCCTTGCTTGAGCTCTGGCTAGGCTCACACACAGAGCAGGGAAAATGGTAGTCAAGGGCTCTGTTTACAGTGAGAGACTTTATGGGGAGTGGGAGGAGAAGTGAGGTGAACTGAGAATTGTAGAAAATTTCAGAGGTTCAGAATTTACACATGTATCATGACTCCTTACTCTGCTCTGAGAGATGTCACACCACTTTGACTTTGCTAAGAGACACACTCTTTCTATTTGAACCTAAAAAAGGACAAAATTCTGATGAACACCTCCAAAGCCAGCTGTTGTGCAGACCCAGCTTGTAGATGGAGTAAAAATAATCCAAAAACGTGCTCAATACAGGAAGGGGTAAACAATGAATGTATCTAATTCAGAAGGAAGGTATTTCAAAGGCAGGGGCTGATGTGGCCAGTAAAAGAAATAGTTACAAGATGGAATACGTACTAAGTGAAATGCACCCCAGAAGTAATCTCAAGTAAGACAGGATATTTATTTTATATTTATAGACTCATGGAGAAGCTAAGCCTTTCCGATTGTGAGCCTACACTGGCAGTTTCTTCCATGTGCAGATAGCCCTAAGCACCTGCTTGTAGACATTAACAGGTTAGGAGACATGCAATTAATAGCTGGAAGGTCATAGTTCCTGAGGTGATCTCCAGAGCTGAACTCTAGTGCTGAGCATGACAGCTAGCACAGTTTACTCAACATGTTGCTGTTTAAATAGACTTCAATATGCTTTCTCGTTTACCTGTCACAGAAACCCTCCGGATAGACTATCTTGAGAGAGGCAGGGCTTGAGCTCCACCACTTGATATAAACCAGCGCTCTTTTCATCCCAAGATGAGGCAAATTCCCAGAGATGATCTCCCCCTGCACCCAGTGTATTTACAGAAAGGGTGAAGGCCAAAAGTTGGGCCCTTGAAACCAAAGAGCAAATGTATTGCCACCCCTGGAATACAGGATCTTTTAGATGCTGGTGTCTCATGGCCATTAGAAGAAGATATTTTAAATCTAAATATTGGAAGAAGTAAATAAGGATCTACTTTCAATCATTCAACAAATATTTATTGAGCATTTACTATGTTACAGGCACAGTGCGAGGCTACGCAGACACAACCTTGAGCAATACAGGTGTGCATTTTGCACTTGTGGTACATATAGGCTAGGGGACAAATAGATAAAAGCAACTCTGCAGCATGTATTCTAAAGAAGAAGCCCAAAGGGACAGGAGGTGGGATAGCAGGGGTCCAGCTCTGTCCTAGAGACCAGGAAGTCCTCCTGGAGGAAGTGAGATAGAAGGCCTGGGGTGGGGATGGGATGAGAGGAGAGAGAGCTTTTCAGGCACAGAGAACAGCTAAAGAAAATATATATCTATATGACTTGTTTCTGTGGCTGAAACAGTAAGGACTTTAATGGGAAGTGACCTCCAACCACACCCTCACTTCCTCCTAACCACGAACACACTCATTTTTCCCATTCAAATTCCCAGAAATGCTATTAACAGGAATCTTTTACCATTATTTTCAAAAGTAGCCTTGAAATGATTTATTTTGTCAAGTTCTCAGCAGAGAGAACTGCTAACACTAATTAAATCAGAACCTCAGGCAGTGGTACCAGGCATGAGTATTGTTTAAAGCTTCCCAGGTGATCCCAAAGTTCAGTATAGTCAAGCTTGGGACTTTAAACCCATTCTTGATTATGGACGCTGGTTAAGACAGGGAGAAAAAACAACTCTGGCACTGAGAGGTGGGGGGGAATGGTGAAGAGCTATGTTCTAGCTTCTGAGGTTTGTAAAATATGTTATGGAAGTGAAGTGAGTGATGCCCAGAGAACCCAGGATAATGTCCTCATTTGGGGTCTTTATAAAATTTAATTTTGAGCATTTATATATATATATTTATTTCCATAGGTTTTTGGGGAACAGGCGGTGTTTGGTTACATGAGTAAATTCTTTAGTGGTGATTTGTGAGATTTTGGTGCACCCATCACCTGAGCAGTATACACTGTACCCAATTTTTAGTGTTTTATCCCTCACCCCCTCCCACCATTTCCCCCAAGTCTCCAAAGTCCATTGGATCATTCTTATGCCTTTTCATCCTTATAGGTTCACTCCCACTTATGAGTGAGAACATATGATGCTTGGTCTTCCATTCCTGAGCTACTTCACTTAGATTAATGGTCTCCAGTTCTATTCAGGTTGCTGAAAATGCCATTATTTCATTCCTTTTTTATGGCTGAATAGTATTCCATGGTGTAGATAAAGCACAATTTCTTTATCCATTCATTGATTCATGGGCATTTGGGCTGGTTCCATATTTTTGCAACTGCAAATTATGCTGCTAAAAACATGCATGTGCAAGTATCTTTTTCATATAATGACTCCTTTCCTCTGGGTAGATACCCAGTAGTGGGATTGCTAAATCAAATGGTAATTCTACTTTCAGTTTTTTAAGGAATCTTCACACTGTTTTCCATAATGGCTGTACTAGTTTACATTCCCACCAGCAGTGTAAAAATGTTCCCTTTTCACCACATCCCTGCCAACATTTATTATTTTTTGATTATTACCAGTCTTTAAGGAGTAAGATGGTCTTCAAGGCCAAAAAACCCAAAAGCAAATGCAACGAAAACAGTGACAAATAGGTGGGACTTAATGAAATAGGAAGTTTCTGCACAGCAAAAGAAACAATCAGCAGAGCGAACAGACAACCCACAGAGTCAGAGACAATGTTCACAATCTATACATCTGACAAAGGACTAACATCCAGAATCTATAAGGAACTCAAACAAATTAGCGTTGAAAAAAAAAAACAACAAACAAATTCCATCCAAAAAAAATGGGCTAAGGATGTGAATAGACAATTCTGAAAAGAAGATATACAAATGGCCAATAAACATATGAAAAAATGCTCACCATCACTATTGAGCATCTGTATTTGACTATGAAAAGATTGAGGGCTAGATGTGGTGGCTTATACCTCTAATCCCAGTGCTTTGAGGGGCTGAGGCAGGAGCATCATTTGAGCCCAGCCTGGAATTTGGGACCAGCCTGGGCAATATAATAAGACCCTGTCTCTACAAAAAAATTGAAAACATTAAAACAATTAGCTAGGTGTGTGATGTGCACCTGTAGTTCCAGCTAGTCAGGAGGCTAAAGCAGGAGGTTTGCTTGATCCTGGGAGATCAAGGCTGTAGTGAGCTATGATCCTGCCACTGCCATCCAGCCTGGGTGACAAAGTGAGAACCCTGTCTCTAAAAATAAAAAACATCAGGAGCTCAATGTTCAGGATGCCAATGCAGACTTTTCACTGTTGTTGCTGGAGAAGGAAGAGGGGAGTAGACGGTGTGAGCCCCGGAGAATTCTCTTCTGGCAACATCTTCCTGTAGAAAACAGTGTGACAAAGCTGTGAATCCCCAAAATTCATTCCTTGATAACAATTGTGTTTGCACTACATAGCCTGAAGCAAAGCTAGCAGAGGTAATAGCTGTTGAAAAAAAAATTAACGGGCACGATGACTGATCTATAGCTTCATCATAACATAAATTATAACAGGAGACGGAGGGAATGGCTTTTTGGAAGTCCTGCTTTTCTGCAGAGGTGCAAGGCCCTTGCTGCTTTTCCAGCTATTGTTAAGTTTGCTAAAAATAAGATCTGTGCAATATGTAAACATCACCCCGCCCCAAGTAAAAATATGGATTATTCAGATGCTAGAGGCAGGAGAGAGTCAGATGTTGGCCTAAGGCCTTAAGTTCATGTCCCTGACAGGCTCTGAGCTTGTCAAAACTGCTCTTCAATCCCCTTGCTAATAGCATGGTGTGCTTCAGTAACTGAATTGGTCACGTAATTAGCATACTCCTCTGGCTGGGAAGAAATCTGCGGGTACACTCTAAATTAAAGAAAACCAACTTGTTGTGCCAGGTTATATAATTTAATGAAGAATCTGTAGACGGTGCCTTTTAAAAAGTATGATTTTGGGTATAAAATTAAGCACTCACGCCTAACGTTTCTCTTTTAGCTCTCAGCCAAGGCTCACTGTTGTGTAAATGAATTAAATGCAGCCAAAGGCCCATCTGCTTCACAGGACAGAATCAAATGAGACCTGGATGCTTGGGGTCTATTTGCCCTTGTTTTGTAGCATCTTGGGCAAACCAGCACTGATGTGCAATGTGAGAGGCGAATATTTCTGCTTTTATCATTGTTGTAAGCCACATATTTTTTTCTTACCTCTTCTCTGTTTGTTCTTTAAACAACAAAAAATCTGGTGGTAGATCCATCTGACCTCACTGAGTCCAAAATGGCATCTCCCTCTCCTTGTTCTTCCTCTCTGGCCGCTCCTTTATTTTTCTTCTTTTCTTTTTCTCTTTCATCTGGCTTCTCCACCCAAAAAGCCAAGGGAAGTGAGGTAACAATAACTTTGTTGCATTTCACCTGGCCCACCCAGAGAAAATCTATTTCTAGGCAAATGCGGAAAACCCAAACCTTGTGGAACGCAACCGGCCCTTTAATCTAACATCCTCTGTGAGCTGCAGAGTCTAATGTTTAATTTGAAAAACAATCTGAAAATAGCATGAAAGGAAACGTGGAATTTGCATAGCTATATATATGTTTAAGATAGTCATAGTCGTTTTGGAAAATACTGTGTTTGAGAGCTGACCCTTTACTTGAAGTTGCCCGAATTTTCTGGACTCCTCTGAGATAAGGAGTGTAATTGTCAGTTGAGTGATGGTTGCTTTTCTGCACAGTCGTCTTGATATTAAGGAGTCAGAAGTCCAAGCCTGTCATTTTGGAAAACTGAATGCTGATATTCAGAGCTGTTTGAATGACCAAAACTAAAGTCACAATGACAACGAGGTTCTAGTTTATTTCTAATATTCATTGGATTGCCACGCTTTTGAGAATCTTGTTAAAAATCTTCTGTTTTCTCTTCCTTTCCTTTTATCTTTCTTCCATCTCTTTCTCTCCTTTTCTTTGCCATTTTCATGGCCTTTTAAAACATCTTTTTCTGCATATTTCTTTTTTTTTTCAAAGTTTAAATTGCACTAAAATCTTTATATAGGCATGGCCTAAGTTTGGTTTATTCCAGCCCAGTTGCCTACAGATGAAATCCTTTCTCCATAAGCCCTTTGAAGGACAACTTCCATTTCCAAAGCCTTAAATTTAATAGCTGGAGAAAAGACAAACAAAATCTCTACTGTTTCAGGCTTCCTAACATTTCTACCATATTCAAGGTGCCTTTAAAACAATCTTTCTGAAAGGTGCTGGGAACTCAGATATCAAGCATAAGCTCTTCATTTGGTGAGAGACGCTCAGCAGGTTAAGGAGACAAGGCAGAGAGTGCAGAGGTGTAAAAATTTAAGGGTGATTTCAAACCAGTATATATGCCTCTAGGAAAAGGATTTTAATCTTGGGATCCATGGATCGAAGTCAAGGAGTTTGTAATAGTCCATTTTCTGTTGCTTATAACAGAATACTTGAAACTGGATAATCCAGAAGAAAAGGAATTTATTTCTTACAGTTAGGGATGCTAATAAATCCAATGTTGAGAGGCCGCATCTAATGAGAGCCTCCTTGCTGGTTGCATGGCAAGGAGGATGACTGTGCACATGGGCTAGCTCAGGTTGCTCTTCCCCTTCTTGTAAAACCACCAGTTCCCCTTTCATGATAACTCATTAATCCATTAATCCATGAATGGATGGATTCATTCAATTCTCATTGAATTGAGCCCTTGTGATCCAATCACCTCTTTAAGGCCCTACCTCTCAATACTGGCATATTGGGGATTGAGTTTCAAAAAGTGTATTGGAAGGGACATTCCAACTATAGCAGGGTCCATGAACTTAATGGGAAAACATTACTTCTTTGTATTTCCTAAGCTTTTGTTGAAATATAGCTTTTCTACCAATTATAAATATGGACAAATAACCCACGGTAATGTCAGCATTCTGTAACATATTACAATACAGTTGTTGATGTAGAGACATCTGGTCTCAACAGATGCTTTACGTCCAACACTACTTAGATATTATGGTAAATATTAGACCTACCACTAGATCTTTCTACTTAAAGCGTTAGTAAGGGAGCACATGCCTCACTACAGCAATTAAAAATATTATTATAGATATGTGGGAGCTAAGCTATGAGGAGGTATAAGAATCATACAATGGACTTCAGGGACTTGGGGAGAAGAGTGTGAGGGGGGCGAGGGATAAAAGACAACAAATATGGTGCAGTGTATACTGCTCGGATGATGGGTGCACCAGGTTCTCACAAATCTCCACTAAAGAACTTACTCATCTAACCAAATACCACCTGTACTTCAATAACTTATGGAAAAATAAAATTAAGAAAAGACTATAAATATTTCATTATTGATGTTTTTCTTAATAATTCTATATATTTTATTTAATGCATTTAAAAATTGTTATTCTGAGAAGCAGTCAACGGCTCCATTGAATTGTAAAATGAGTCCATGTAACAGTAAAGGTTAAGAACCTTGGCTCTTAGAGGAAATTATTCTTCCAACTGGATACTTTGTGGTCCTTGATTTTGGAGAAGGGGAGGGGTATAAAGGAAGAGGAGAAAAGGAATCTGGAATTTGTTTTGGCCTAACAGAGCTTCTGATTGTTTCTGTTGGTTCTGTGTCCAGAGCTAAACACCTGCATAGCAATTTAAAAATGTGGAGAAAGGAAGAAAGAAAAAAACATAGTTTACACTAGACAGGGGCATCTAGGGCAGCACCAAAACAAAATCCTGGCCAGGTGCGGTGGCTCACACCTGTAATCCCAGCACTTTGGGAGGCCGAGGCGGGCAGATCACTTGAGGTCAGGAGTTTGAGACCAGCCTGGCCAACATGGTGAAACCCCGTCTCTACTAAAAATACAAAATACAGCCGGGCGTGTTGGCGAGTGCCTTAATCCCAGCTACTCAGGAGGCTGAGGCACAAGAATCACTTAAACCTGGGTGGCAGAGGTTGCAGTGAGCCGAGATCGCGCCACTGCACTCCAGCCTGGGTGGCAGAGTGAAACTGTCTCAAAAGAAAAAAGAAAAAAAGCAACAACCCCACAAAAAGTCTCACAGCAAAACAAAAAACAAAAAACAACAGCCTTCTCACGTTTTCTTCCCTCTTTTTGGACAATTTTTTTTTCTGGTGCCAATACCCAAGCTGCTTTTCCTTTTTTTTTTTTTTTTTTCAGCAGTGTTAGAAATGTAGTTTTACATATATTCTAGAAGATACTCACGCATTTCAATGTTACTTTCCATAGGAGGAACTTGTAGGCAAAGCTCCTGTGCCATTGATTGAGCCCTTTTTCCAAACTGTCACACACTCACAACTTTTCCTGCCTAAGTCTTTGCTGATGACTGTAAAGTCATAATAAAAGGCCAGCTTGCCATGGAGATTGCTATTATCTGTGGGAGAAGTTGGTTTATTTGCAAGACTATAGAAGAGTCTATGAACTTAGATGGGAAAATAATATTTCTTTATATTTCCTAAGCTTTTGTTGAAATGTACCATTTCCATCAATTATAAATATGGACAGTAAACCCATGGTAATATCAGTACTCTGCCATGTATTACGATACAGTGGTATTGTCAGTAGGGGCTAGAGGTATAAACTGACAGCTACTGTGTATGCTAAATTTCCAGCTGTGAACCACATTGACTTTGGGAGTTAATAGTTGAAGTAAAGTGTATGTAATGAGACATCATGTTTTTCCAGAGTTTCTGTTAAAATAGTCTCATCAGAGTAATATTGAGAGGAAGAGGCCCTGTCAGAAAGAGTTATTTTTTGCTTCTATGATATCTTTTGATTCTGCAAGGTGGTGGAAAGGAGAAAGCAAGGAGGAAAGTGGGAAGAAAATGTGGGCAGTGAACTTTACGGGGCCTGGGGGACAGACACAGACTTTAGTCAAAGATAGCTAGATTTAAATCTCAGCTCTGCAACTTTCCTGTGTGATCTTTGGCATGTAGCTTAACTTCTCTGAACTACCAGTTCTTCATTTGTAAAATGAACATAATAGTGGTATCCACTTAAAGAGTTATCATAAGAATTTGATAAGCTAAGCATGGTGGCTCACACCTGTAATCCCAGCACTTTGGGAGGCCAAAGTGGGCAGATCACTTGAGGTCAGGAATTCGAAACCTGCCTGGCCAACCTGGTGAAACCCCATCTCTACTAAAATAAATAAATAAATAAATACAAAATACAAAAATTAGCTGAGCATGGTGGCTCACACCTGTAATCCCAGCTACTCGGGAGGTTGAGGCAGGAGAAATCACTTGAATCTGAGAGGCAGAGGTTGCAGTGAGCTGAGATTGTGCCACTGCACTCCAGCCTGGGCGACAGAGTGAGACTCATCTCAAAAAAAAAAAAAAAAAAAGACAGAATTTGATGGCATATAATGCATTAAGACATTTGTCACAGTGCATGGTACCATGTAATAGGAACTTAATAGAGGGCAGCTTCTGGAAGGCTGCTGCTGTGACCAGATGAGTATGTCAGCTGAGCTGTCAGAAGTGACAAGACTACGAGCAGCTGCTGTTTTGACACGTCTGCTATGTTTGTCTCTGTGATCAACCAGCAATCCTGTCCCACTGGGGAGGGGTGTTCTTGGCATTGGTCTGCCAACAGCCTGTCCTCCTTCCTTTACTCTTAATAATCTTGGTTTTTTTTTTTTTTTGAATTAAGTAACTGACTGTGTCAGTTTTGCTAACTGAAAAATCAGGGTCTTAATAATAGTTAGCATTTACCTGCCTCACATGCTGGATTAATCAGCGTGCTTGTGAAGTCACAAATTTCTTAAAGTCGAGATAGTGACTCTGCTACTCCCGTAATGAGGGTGTGAGCACTGAGGTAAGTGTATATATACAGATTCATATCTGTACTTGAGCTTTTGTTCATATGTAGTTAATGTTTTAAATGGGATAATTGTTTGACTGATAAATAAGATAATTCATGTGAAAGTCTTTGTAAACAGCTAAGCATTAGTAAAAGCCAAACTTCATACTTATTAAAGTTGTGCCCGAAATAAAAATCATGTAACAGCTGGAAAATTACCAGCTATCAAGGAAGAAGTCAAGTCCCTGGGGAGTAAAAGGGGCTAGGAGAACCCTAAGCTTTAGACCTGGTTGATCACTAAATAACCAGGGAAGTTACTGCTCCATTTATAATCTTATCTTCCTCTTCTGTAGAATAAAAATACTGTAGGCTTGGCCTATGTTTCAGCCTTCTTGAGAATCATTCTCGGAGAATGATGCTAAAAAGTGCTTGATGAAAAGTATGGTAGGTGAAATTTTGGGATGGTCCTCTACATATTTCCTGCTTCTTCCCATAGTTGGTAATATAAATCTCATTCATAAAATAACACTATTTTTAAATCGATTTAGTTCTTAGTAAGGACCTTTTTAAAAAAGTTCAGTGAGTGGTTAAAAACCCTCATAATGGTCTCTAGCCTCCTGCCGTTTGGACCTGGACTAACTTAAAAATGATGCCTGCCTTGCTTCTAATTACCTGTGTGTTTATTGCAACTAATAAATGTATTTTATACAAGTTATTATTTTACAGCTTAGATTTAGCTGCTTATTTGTTTAGAAAAAAGTTTGATAACAACAAAAAGCATAGCTCATCTCCTCATGGACTGGGGCATTCATCTGCTTTGAATGTGGAGACAGAAACCTTATAGACAGTTTCAATTTGTCTTACATTTATTGTGTACACAACTGACTGGTCTAGACACTATGAAGACAACAGAGGGGGTAAGATATAGTTCTGCCTTTAGGAGTAAAATGATCAATCATTCTCTAAAAGACTGTCCGTTTGCCAAACAGCAAAAAGAAACCAACTGGTTGCTAAATACGTGATTTTCATTTGCCTCATATCTGCACTGGCGTCCAACACGGAAGCAGTAAGTATGTATCCACGTGTGCAGAATGATTCGCCCAGGGCTAGTTTAACAATGGCTATTATTCACAATAATAAGCTAGTTTGCATTGACACTCCTAATTCAAAGTGATGTCGCGCCTGCTTTCAAAATAGGTCAGCTTGATAGCTTATTGGCGTAGTCACCCTTGGGAAATCACAAAGAGATAGCTCTTTACCAAATTAGTGGCTGATATCCAGGCTTGGTTTGAAAACTGTGCTTTGAGGGAGACTTGTTTCTTGTGCTTGACCAGAAAAGCACAGAAACACTGAATTATAATGTACAGCTTTTAAATCCAAGATTTGGCTATACATTTAGGATAGTTTATGCAAAACTGGCAGAGGTTGGTTTCTAGCTTTTTTTAGTTTCTAGGTTTGATCATTTCCCTCTGGTTAGTGTGGAGAGAACTAAAGCCTTCTGTTCTGAACAAACAACCACAACCCAAATAGGCCAAGAGACTAGGAAAATACCAGGACAAGTGAAATGAGGAGTGTCCTTTAGGGCAGCCAAGCTGAGGCACAGAGCTTAAAACCAATGCTAGGGCATGCCCGAGAGATTTCTTAAGAGGGCTGATGGCACTTCTTTTTGAAGCTGTAAAGTAGTGGCTGTTTACATTAAGGCAGAAAAAATGTCAAATACTATACAGCTGTGTCTGTCATGCTCTTCTGCTATTTTTTCCTCTGTGTACCATTTTGGTAACAGTTTCTTCATTTTTCCCTGGGGACCCATTTCTTTCCTATTTTCAGATCCTGAAGTTTGGATGGGACTTACAGCCTCTCTTTGCTTCCACCACCACCAGTGATAGTCACATGGCCCATACTTGACCAATCAGAACACTGTATCCCCAGCCAGAATGATTAGTTTGGAGTATGCTCCTGGTGTACCATACAATCAGAGAGCCTCATTCCCAGGGCTTCTGCTAGAGATTTTAGGGAAGAGGTGCTCTGTTCTTTCTAGATTAGATGTACCAGCAGTATGTAAACCTAACATTCCTGGAGACCATCTTTGTCACCACATAAAGGGATCTCCTCTGAGAACGACAACAATCCAGAGGAAAATAGAATTGAGAGATGGTGAGGGGTATACTCCTGATAACACCAATTGAGTTATATTAAAAGGGGATCTAAGTTCAGCTTTGCCTAAACCCTCAGATCCAGTTAACTGATTTTTCTCTTTGCATAGATTAGTTTGGGTTATGTTTCTGTTGCTTGCAATGAAGAGTGCTTTGAATAATATGTGGTCTTTTATAAAGCCTATGTGTCAGTCATCTACTGCCATGATAATGCTGCATAACAAAATACTTAAAAAAAAACAACCTCAGGGACATCCAACAATAGTCATTTCTTTCTTTCTTATTTATTTATTTTCTTTCCAATTTTTATTTTAGGTTCAAGGGGTACACATGCAGGTTTGTTACATGGGTAAAGTCTTTCTTTTTAGTGTATTCATGAGGTAGTTGAGATTGGGTTTGTCCATGTTGGGTTTAGCTAGAGTAGGTTCCTAGCTTCACGTTGTTCAAGTGTACTCCGTGTGTCTCTTATCCCTTTTGAACAAGTGGTTATTTGGGGCATGTTATAATTTTCATGGTGACTGAAAGCAATGCCAGACAGCAATCCCAATTATACAAGCACAGCTCAAGCCTCTTCCTCTGTCGTGTTCACTAACATCCCATTGGACAAAGCAAGTAACTTGGTTAAGTTCAGCATCAAGGGAGTGGAGAATGGCACTCTTTCCACGAATATGGGGGAAAGGGAGTGAATATTTGATGAACAATAATCTACCACATCCTAAACTTAACCAAAGGAAATAAGGACTAGGCATTATAGAATCATGGAATTCTAAATCTGCTATAAATATAGTAACAAACAGTATGAAATATTTTAAATACGTTAATGTAACAAAAGGCTATTTTTTAAGAACTGAGATATGTGTATTCCTGAAAGATTCAAGTTCTGTTTCAAATATTAATGATGTTGAAATTTGTTTGTTTGTTTGTTTGTTTGTTTTGAGACAGAGTCTCGCTCTGTCGCCCAGGCTGGAGTGCAGTGGCGCGATCTTGGCTCACTGCAAGCTGTGCCTCCTGGGTTCACGCCATTCTCCAGCCTCAGCTTCCCACGTAGCTGCGATTACAGGCACCCGCCACCACGCCCGCCCGGCTAATTTTTTGTATTTTTAGTAGAGACGGGATTTCACCGTGTTAGCCAGGATGGTCTCAATCTCCTGACCTCGTGATCCGCCCACCTCAGCCTCCCAAATTGCTGGGATGACAGGCATGAGCCACAGCGCCCAGCCTTGAAATTAGTTTTGAAATAAGTAGAATATTTTATGGCTGCCTCCTTCTGGCTAAGGGATTACTTCAGTGATATAGTTATCAACTGATATAGACATTCAATAGCAATTTGTGTAAGTTGATTTTGAAATTCAAAATCTTATATCTTATATCAAACATTGTACAAATATCATGAACTATACAGGGAGTGTAAGATTAAAGGAGAATAGCTGAGTGTGGTGGCTTGTGCCAGTAATTCCAGCTACTCAGGAGACGGAGGCAAGAGGATCACATGAGCCCAGGCATTTGAGACCAGCCTGGGCAACATAGTGAGACCCCATCTCTACAAAAATAAAATTAGAAAACATAGCTGGCCGTGGTAGCATGCACCTGTATTTCCAGCTACTTAGGAGGCTGAGGGGAGAGGATCGCTTGAGCATAGCAGTTCAAGGCTGCAATGAGCTGTGACCACACCACTGCACTCCAGCCTGGATGACAGAGAAAGACTGTCTCTTAAAAAATATAAAGGAGAGGCCGGGCACGGTGGCTCAGGCCTGTAATCCCAGCACTTTGGGAGGCTGAGGCGGGTGGATCACAAGGTCAAGAGATCGAGACCATTCTGGCTAACACTGTGAAACCCCATCTCTATTAAAAATACAAAAAATTAGCTGGGCACGGTGGTGGGTGCCTGTAGTCCCAGCCACTCGGGAGGCTGAGGCAAGAGAATGGCGTGAACCCGGGAGGCGGAGCTTGCGGTGAGCCGAGATTGCGCCACTGCACTCCAGCCTGGGCGACAGAGCAAGACTCTGTCTCAAAAATAAAACAAAATAAAATAAAATAAAAGAGAATATCTGAAGGCATAATGATAATGCCTGTCATTCTTTTGGGTGCCTCCTATGTTTCAGGTACTGTGCTAACGAACCTCAGTGATATTAAATAATGTGGTCAAATTCCCACATTCTGGTAAAAGCCAGAGAAAGGACATCTACCTGAGGATGTCTTGTGTCAAAGCTTGGGCTCTGGCTTCACTACGTTGTAGGAAGTTTAAGTTAGACAATAAGGATGAGTTGACAGCTTACTAATGGCAGGTATGTCTTCTCAATTCTAGAAAATGCTGCATTGATAAAGAAAACCATGTTCCAGTCTTGCTTTAAAGCAGGAGGTTGAACTAGGTGAAGAGAGACTGGTTAAAGAATACAACTAAGGAATCAGCTGGTACAATGATGCAAAGTACAGGACCTTGTGAGGCTCCCCTGGGAGTTTTCTGTCTTGCACTATGGGTAAAACAATTGTCCTGACAATTCATTATGAGGAGTTAATGTAACATGCATGAAAAGATTTTTCATATAGCATGTGGCTGAGGGAGCACAGTTGTTATAAAGTTCAATTCAAAAACAAAAACCAGACTAGCTCTCTGTCCTGGTGATTCTATTACCAACCTGTCTAAAACAGAGGCTGAATTTGGTAATCTCTTGAAATCACTTGTGACCCTTCACTTCTCGGGTTGTTTTGATTTGGGGACTTTTCTATCCACTTGAAGAAAATATCTTTTAAAGGGTCATACTGTCCCCGGTTTTGTTTGAGTTCCAACAGTGAGTACTAGGCTGCCTAAATGATCACAGCTGGGCAGTAAAAATTCCTGAGAAAGCAGAAACATTAAGTTTCAAATTCCACTTGAATTAATGTATCTGGAGGTAAGGTTTTATAGTTAAAATATTTGGATGGAAAACACAATTTTTTTAAATCTTTCCTTTGAATCAAGGTAACATCACATTGAGGGTTGAGCGTAAAGTAGCTGGAGGCAGTAACGTAGTCCACCCCCTCTCAAGAAAATGAAACCAGTGAAAAATGTCTTCTTAGGTTTTGTTATGTCTCTGTTTGACTATCTAACAGTTTACAAGTGATAATGTGGATGATGGCTGTGATAATATCTTTAACACAGTTAATATAAGAATATGATTCTGTTTATAAGGCACTTTTCAAACAAGGTAAGCACAACTTGAAAGTAATTGTATGGGAGGGCTGACTCCAGACACGTGGAGGCACGATTCTTAATTCTAATTTCAGCCTGGAGACAATTAGATTTAAAGCAACCAGGAAAAGTGCCCACTTTTCCTGGGTTGTGAAGGGGAAAGAAAACTTGATATATTTTTGTGAATCTCCTCCTCCTCTTCTACTCTTAGGATGGGAGGGTAGCTTCATTGCTAGGGAAGGTTCTGTGCAAACACACAATGCTGGGAATAATCAAAAGCCCAGAAAACTGAGTCAGGTACCTGCCTCTGGCAAAATTCTGAGTGAATAGATGGGTGCCCTGAGTGGTAGCAAGCAAGTGATCTGTCAGAACATGAAATGAGAGGAATTTCGAAGTTATGGCCTTGCCCAGATAATATTATGCCTCCCACTTCTGAAGGTTTCAGTCTAAGAACCCAGAAAAAGAACACTGTTTTACTCCTGAGAGATCTGCTCAGAGTAACGTGGGTCAGAAGAACTATTTTGAGTTTCATAGTCAGAGTGGCATGACCCAGCCAAGTTGTTATTTTTGTGACTCTTGCAACTCATTGCCCTCTTCTTTAATTTTTTTTTTTAATTTGAGGAAATAAAGGTGATGAGTTGAATCAGTGGTTTTAAAATTGTAAGCCTTGGAGCTCTTGTAGTCCTTAGAAACCTCAGATGATCTCAACAACCACTAAAGTCCATCACCGGTTTGGCAGACAAGTAGGGCAAGGAGGAAGAACTCTGTTCTCTCCCCTTCCAATTCACTGCATACAGGACTTAAAACCTAGACGATGGGTTGATAAGTGCAGCAAACTACCGTGGCACATGTGTACCTATGTAACCTACACATTCTGCACTTGTATCCTGGAACTTAAAGTTTAAACAAAAAGAATATTTTCCTAAGTTTAGGTTTGGGTGTACGACTCTGAACGACAACTTCTGTACTTATCTTTTTTACTAGTCAGCGTACTTGACCTTAAAGCTTGCTCCTCTCTAATTCCACCATCCTGGGTGATCCTGAGCACCAGAACCAGGTTCAGAGTTTAGTCATTCTCAGAAGAAACACAATTCAGCATTATAAGTATCACCTTAGGCCTTAGGAATATAAAGAACAAAAGATGATCCCTGCCCTCAAGGCTTTTATGGTTGAATGAGGAAAATACAGGCAAACCTATCATTATACTGCAACAATGTGATTGATTAAAGGGAGGCCAATGTCAAGGAGACAGGGAATGTAGAGGGTGGATTGCTTAGTCCAGCTGAGAGAGTGAGATGAAGCTTCAAAGAGAAGGAGGGCTTTGACAGTTTAAGAGAGGATGTATGGCCGGGCGCGGTGGCTCACGCCTTTAATCCCAGGACTTTGGGAGGCCAAGGCGGGCGGATCACGAGGTCAGGAGATCGAGACCATCCTGGCTAACACAGTGAAACCCCGTCTCTACTAAAAATACAAAAAATTAGCCGGTCGTGGTGGTGGGCGTCTGTAGTCCCAGCTACTCGGGAGGCTGAGGCGGGAGAATGGCGTGAACCCGGGAGGCGGAGCTTGCAGTGAGCCGAGATGGTGCCACTGCACTCCAGCCTGGGCGACAGAGCGAGACTCCGTCTCAAAAAAAAAAAAAAAAAAAAAAAAAGCGGATGTATGATTTTAAAATATAATTCAGATCGTGTGAGTCCTCTGCTTGAAATACTCCAAGGGCTTTCCCATTGGATACAGAATGAAATCCAAGTCCTCGTGTCGTTAGAAGGTGGATATGATGTGGCCTGCTGCCTTTCTCAGACATCTGCTTCATCCTTTTTGGCTCTTCCATTCTCATTATCCTCTCCTCTTCATCCCTCAACAATCTATTCTCATGTTCAGCTTGTGGCTTTTATTTTTGCCATTCCCTTTGGCTGAAATGCTTTCCCCCCAGTCTTCAGTGATGTGTCTTCCTAATCACTCTGGAGTCAGAATAAATGCAGTAGCCACTTCAATATTTCCAGTTTTCCTTCTTCTGGATACAAGCGAGGGATCAGAACTTGCCTGCCGTTTTTTTTTTTTTTTTTTTTTTTTTTTTTTTTTTTTTTGAGACAGAGTCTCGCTCTGTCACCCAGGCTGAAGTGCAGTGGCTCAATCTCGGCTCACTGCAAGCTCCGCCTCCCGGGTTCACGCCATTCTCCTGCCTCAACCTCCCGAGTAGCTGGTACTACAGGCGCCCGCCACCACGCCAGGCTAATTTTTTGTATTTTTAGTAGAGACGGGGTTTCACCATGTTAGCCAGGATGGTCTCCATCTCCTGACCTCACGATCTGCCCACCTCGGCCTCCCAAAGTGCTGGGATTACAGGCGTGAGCCACCACGCAGGCCCTTGCCTGCCTTTTGATGTTAGGGAAGACTAATCAGGTGGGTTGCTTTGGCCAATGAAATATCAGTGAAAGTTACATGTGCAACTTCCTGGCAGAAGCATTTCCTTTCCAGTGGGAGGGTCTATGAAGTTTCCTTCTTCTGATATGGAGACTCTAGAAGTCTGTGCTAACATGGAAGAACAATGCTGAGCCATCACGCAGTGGTTAAGCCACTGCGGAGCCTCCTGGATTCACAGACGTCTTTGCCTAAATGCGAAAGGAATGTTCATTGACCTTAGCCATTGAAGTTTTAGGGTTTGTTTGTTATTACACTATAACCTAACCTAGTCTGACTGATAAATATTCTTTTGAACTCCCAGTCTTAAAGTAGACATCCTGCTTTACTCCTGCTTTGCTACAAATTATATTTATTTTTTACATTGCACTTCCGTGAAATTATGCTGTTCGAATGTTTATTTGTGATCTGTCTTCCCCCATGAAAATATAAACATCACGAAAGCAGGTATCTTACATGTCTTGTTCCATATTTGTCGTGTGTCTGGCACAAAGTAGGCATGTTGTGCACCAATGCAGAACACAAAGTGTATCTGTGCCACATGGGACCCGGTGTCTAACCTTTGGAGAAAGAAAACATATTTAGAAAGGCAAGCATTAGAATGCTCCCATCAATGGGCCCCCCAAATTAGGAAAACATGTATAAGGAACATAAGTTATTTATGTAATATTTCTCAATCTCAATTTTTTAAGTCTTAGACTCTAAAATCTAACAATATGAAAGAATATGGGGTTTATCCTAAAATATTATTGAGTATTTATTGGTAACAAAGTTAGATACAAATTTTTTGCTGAGTTTACAATGCACATTTCCAATATTATAGTGAATATCAGTGTTTTCTTGTCGTTTGTTTAAAAAGTGAGCTTTATTAAAGGTTACTACTCTATGTAGTGTGGCAGAGAGACTATGATGGTGACAGGGTCTTACATGGTTTTCCTTTAAGATCTGAGAATCAAAATGATATCTTTTATTACCAATACATTTCTTAAAAAATGTATTGCATATAAGAACAATAAAAACACAAAAGTGGAAAAGTTGAGAAGTTCAATTGGGAAAATTATTGATTATAAATAATTTCAAAAAATAACTGGACAAACTCTAAACATAGGAGAAATTTTAAGAAGTGTTAAATTGTCTATATGACAAAGAAATGGAAATTGTGTTGAAATAATTTGTTCAAATGTTATTGAATTGCTCATTTTTCTAAAACTACAATGGCCCTTTGAAGCCTATAGAATCTGTTAACATCTTTAGTACTTTTGATGCAATACAAATGGTTTCCAATAAATAAGCTTTAGTTTATTTCTCAACAGTAAGTTTTGATTGAAGATCTTAAAGATGACATTTCCCTCTTAGGAAGCTGTGCTGGAGTTGTTAACTTTGAACTTATCTAACTTTACAAGCTGAGCTCTTTTTAGATTTAGATAATTGTCTTGCATTTGGGTGCTTACATCCTAAGGTACTACCTCCTTCCACCTATATAAGGAAATTTTGAGGCTGGGGGCAGTGGCTCATGCCTGTAATTCCCACACTTTCATAGGAGGATTGCTTGAGGCCAGGAGTTTGAGACCTGCCTGGGCAACACAGCAAGACTCCATCTCTACAAAAATTTTTAAAAATTAGCCAGACATGGTAGTGCATGTCTGTGGTCCCGGCTACTCAGGAGGCTGAGGTGGGAGGATCACTTGAACCCAGGAGTTCAAGGCAGCAGTGAGCTAGGATTGCACCACTGCACTCCAGCCTGGGCAGCAGAGCAAGACCCTGTCTCTTAAAAAAAAAGTTGACATGATTAAAACCTTATAGAATCAATACAATTAAATCATTTGCATTATTGCCCAGGAAATGCTCAATATTATCAACATGATTCTCTTAACAGGAAATTTTAGCACAAAACCTAGGATCAAGCAGGAAGTTACTTCACTTTTCATAATTGCAAGCATTGCTAAGTGAATTCCTTTGTTCCAATACAAACTTTGGACATCTTTGGCATGTCTTTCCTTCATGTCCTCATCTCAGATGCCACAAGGAGATGTACAACATGGCATATTTTCAGTCCTCTGTGGTGAGCATTCAGCACTGGTTGTGTTTGCATCCACACAACGGCAATAAACTATGGGAACTATCTCTACTTGACGTATCTGATTTCTACACTAGTGGGAATTCCAATCTTTCTTTCCATCAGAAGCTTAAAACACTGTTGAATGGATGAAATTATCCTCAGGCACCATGAGATATCCAACAGCATAGGGAAGGTACATGGACACGTTGGACAGAAGTGGATTTCGTGTTGAACTCAAAGCCAGAGGTCAAACTACTACTATTCTTTTGTAAAGTAGGATTCTTTATGTGATGGTGCTGTTTTCCTTTAAGATGATCTTTGCAGCACATGATAGAGAGGAGAAATCCTGCCCAAGGGAAGTTAGACTATAAGTACTTCACAAGGGAGTATCTACCCGTATATGTGGGTAATTATACAGGCTGTGCAGAGTGTAGGCAGATTATTTCATGAGAATATTGCCTTGTTTGTGAAAGCAGGAATGGATGTTCACTGAGGTAACCTGGCAACCAAAGAGATAAAGTAGGGGTGCACGGTAGTTATGGTGGCCAAAGGCATTGTCTTCTCAGACACATTTTCCCAGGCTCTGTCACCTTTTCTGGAGGTGCCCCAAAGCCACTACTGAAGGGGTAGGCCTAGGCAGATATGTTCAGACCAGATGACGACCTTGCTTCAATGACTAACGTTATTTGGAGCAAGGGCCCATAATCCAAGCTGAGCCCCTCATATTCTCATTTTAAATTGGAACTAAGATACATAGAAAATAAGGCAGTGAATGTTAGATGCTGTCAGGTGCTATCCAGCTCCATGGGACCTCACCATTGTGGAGCACCATGGATGGATTTCCCAAAGCTGAGTGTTTTCTCTGGTAACCAAAGACATCATTGCACATGACCATGGCAAGTCAGAAGTACCAGAAATTGATATTCCTAGGAAGAGCTCTTCAGCAATGACTTACAGAAGTTGGGATGTAAACACCTCAGTTTCTTTGCCTCTTGCCTGGGATAACTCTGAGGCATGTGTTTTGTACCAATTTCCAGAGTTTCTCGGCAAGATGAAGTTCCACTTGCCCACAGAGGTAACTGGCTTGATCATACACATTGTATTTATTGCCTTCTCTTTCCTGTTTTACTTCCCAACATCCTGGTCAGTATTTCCTGGGATTACCTCTCAAATAAAATGCTTGTACTCAGATTCCTGTCTCAGAATCCACTTTTAAGGAATCAAAAATTATGACAAAACAATAGGTCAGGTAGATTTAAGGTCAGTTGGGTCATAGCAACCCAAAGCGTCATATGTTCAAGTTAAAGTTGTGAGGGGAAATAAAATTTGTTAAAAACCCTTGAACTAGCTTACATAACAGATAATGGAGAGGTGAGTAGAGGGTAGAGATGAGAGACCATACCATAAAAAGAGAGAGCCAACCAGTAGGCCAGAGATACTGCCTGGTAACTTTCTAGCATTTGTGTTTCGTGAGATTACAAATAGGTTTTCTTCTTGAGATAGTGTAAAGTGTATCTGCTTCTTGCTATCTAAATATCCCTGGTTGAGACAAAAGTCAATCTTCTTGAGACAGTATGAAGTGTATCTGCTTCTTGTTATCTAAATATCCCTGGTTGAGACAAAAGTCAAAAATCAACTAAGCTGGAAGTTTGAGGGTCAAAAAAAGCTATTTGTAAGGAATTGCTAGTATACAGCCCATTGGTTGGGTGGCAGAAGAGTACAAAACACCAGTGAAGATGGCTTAATAGGGGAGGACCAAAGGCCTGACAGAATTGGCACAGGAGGTGAGAAAATTAAGCTGTGAGAAGAAAAAGCATGTTTTGTCTATTAACCTGTGATATTATGGTGAAGAAGAAGCCTCAAAGTGCTTGGAAAAGAAGCACTTATTGATATTCTCCGAGCGTAAGTCAAAAGTGGACTTAAAGATGCCAAGTAAAAATCCCTGCCAGGCTCAGTGGCTCATGCCTGTAATCCCAGCACTTTGGGAGGCTGAGTGAGGAGGATCACTTGAGGCCAGAAGTTTGAGACCAGTCTGGGCTACATAGTGAGATCCCATCTCTGCAAAAAGTTTAAAAATTAGCCAGATGTGGTGCCGGTGCACCTATGGTCCCAGCTACCTGGGAACTGACGTGGGAAGATCACTTGAGCCTGGGAGGTCGAGGCTGTAGTAAGCAGTGATAACACCACTGCACTCTAGCCTGGGCAACAGAGTGAGACCCCATCTCAAAACAAATCCTCATGCCACATGGAATCTATACTGGCTATCTTTTCATTTCTTGCCTTTCAGTTTCTACATGGAGTGGGATTGTGCAGCATTCTGAGTTCTGTTTTACTGGTTTTGTTTTTTAAACAAACACTCACATTCTCAGCCTAATGAGAAGGAACATTAAGCAGATAGAGATAGAAGCTAGGGTGGAACGGGACAAACCACTGGTCCTCCAGGGTGAAGCTGGAGCAACACTGAGTGCTAAACAAAAGTTACTAATTCAATGAGTTTCGGAAATGATTGGGAAGGAATTACTGGAGACTCTAGATTACAGCTTTTGAAAAATCAGCTATCAGTAAAAAATTAGTAGCAACCTTGGGGATTCTCATGAATCTAATCAATACTTGAATTAAATAACAAAATTGAAAGACATTTGAGGAAAAGGATAGATAAAGGACCATGTTTTGAGAAAAGCACAGATAAATAAAAGATGGAGAACCTTCTTGGTAAAGTTCTGTAATAGATCTTTCCTAAAAAGTAAAAATTTTTTTCCTCGTTAAAACTTTTTCAAGTGCTTTGGCCTGTGACATTCTCCCTCCCCCTCACACCCACACTCATTGAAATTTACTTTTTTTTTCAACATTTGTCCAAGGACAATGTTATGTAAATTTCTCTTTAGAATACACAAATGGGATTTTAAAACTCTTCAAAGGGAATTGAATGAAAAGGGTCTCAGTAAATAGCACTATTGGTCTGTTATCAGAGGGACACAGAGAAAAAAAAGAGAGAGACAAGGACTGTCATTAGTATCTGATGGCAGTTAGCCCAATGTCACAGGCAACCTTACCATGTCTTAAGAAGAATAAAAAACTCTTTCTTTTTTTAAATACAATTTTCATTTTGAAATAAGTATATATTCACCACGAGTTGCAAGAAAATGTACAGAGGGGTCTGCTGCACTCTTTTTCCAATATTAACATTTTGCATAACTATAGTCAATAATCAAAACCAGAAAATAGACATTTTTTCAGTTATACATGAACCCGTTTGTGTGTGTGGGTGTGTGTATGCATGAATGTGTCCTGTGCAATTTTATCATAATTTGTAGGTTTGTGTAACCACCACCAGATACGGAAGCTACCCCTTTATAGCCATTTTCCCCTTCATTCCAAACACCTGGCAACCACTAATTTGTTCATTTCTATAATTTTATTTCAAACGTGATGTATAAATGAAATCATACAGTCTATATAACCTTTTGGTGATTAGCTGTCATTATTCAGTATAATTTTCTGGGGTCTATCTAAGTCATTGCTTGTATCAGTAGTATGTATTTTTTTAAATTGCTGAGCAGTATTTCATAGTATCTATGCATCACATTTGTATAACAATCCACCCATTGAAAGATCTCTGCGTTGTTTCCATTTTTGGCAGTTACAAACGAAGTTGCTATCAACATTCATGCATAAGCTTTTGTATAAACATACTCCTTTATTTTTCTATAATAAATATCTAAGAGTATAATTGCTAGACTGTATGTTTAGAGAATTTTTAGTTTCATTAGAAGCTGCCAAACTATTTTTCAAAGTAACTGTGCCATCTTACATTCTCATGGGAATGTATTCCCCCTATTTGGTATGGTCATTTTTTTACTTTAGCCATTCTGATAGGTTTTAGAAAGGTACCTATGCTTGCCTATTGAGTTCATTCAAGTTCTAGTGTTTCACTAAGAAATAAGTATCTAGAATTAATTGGATGTGCTAGATTGAAAAGTAAATGACTAGAATAACAATAAAGTTAAGAAAAACCATCAACATCGTATGGGATATCGCTTATAAAAATTCATAGATATGTAAGAATATATTCTGAAAAATGCCACTTAACAGAGATATAATCCAGCTTTATTTTTAGTTATTGATGTGATATTTGAATGAATTTATAACAAGGAATGTTAGGTTTTCTCTTTAATTTGAATGTGCTTTTTTTATTTTTATAGAAAAATTCTATCAGGATAACTGAACTTTCTACATGTTTCTTCCTGTAGTTTGAATGCTATACAGTTTTTTTTATTTTGCTGTGGTTACTTTTATATTTTAAACATGGTTTATTTATGTGACAAAATCTAGTGTTGACCAACATCTCAATCCTCCTGCAAATCAATATGAGGAACTATAAAAATGGCTAATCAAGTAACTTCCATCTTTCACGCTTTTGTTTTTTAGTTTATCCTTGATTTCAAGTGAAACAAATTAGTAAACATACAGTAATTGTTATATACATTGCTGTATATTAACCACTTTGAATCTTTTTAAAATTTTTACATTACTTTGCATCTTGACCCTATTACTTTTTATCTGAGTTCATGTTTCTTTTTTATTTCTAGAGTTTTCATTTAGTCCTTTTAAAAGTATGTGTTCCTTATTCATACAATCGCTGTTTTTTCAATATATTTATTTCTACTTTTAGCTCTTTAAACATTTAAAATACGTTTCTTTTGTAGACTTCTAGAGTGTTTTATAATTTCTTTTTTTTTTTTTTTGAGACAGAGTCTCGCTCTGTCACGCAGGCTGGAGTGCAGTGGCGCGATCTCGGCTCACTGCAACCTCCACCTTCTAGGTAAGCAATTCTCCTGCCTCAGCCTCCCAAGTAGCTAGGATTACAGGCACCCACCACCATGCCCAGCTAATTTTTATGTGTATTTTTAGTAGAGATGGGGTTTCGCCATGTTGGCCAGGCTGGTCTCAAACTCCTGACCTCAGGTGATCCACCCGCCTTGGCCTCCCAAAGTGCTGGGATTACAGGTGTGAGCCACTGTGCCTGGCCAAGTGTTTTATAATTTCTTATTTTTCGGGTGCTGATTTTCCTATTGGTTACTTCTAGTGATACTCCCAGTTACTACCAATGATGGTGAGTTTCCTTTTACAATTTGTAGTTTTTAACAGCAAGCTCCTCTTTGATAGGGACTTGGGTTGTGGATGTGTCCGTACATCAGCCAGTGTCATAATAGCTTCATGGTTTGGACCAATATCCTGGAATAGCATTTTCCTAAGTTGCTTGGGATACAAATTCACATCCTATACTTACACATTATCTAGACTAGTTCTAATGTGACTTTGAGCCTTGATTTTTACTAAGAGATCAAGATAGATTTTTTTTAAAAAATACCATTTTTCTGGGCCAGCAGATAGAATTTTTAGTACTCCTTTCACTTAAAAAATAATTAATAAATATCATTTATTATGGAATGCTTAAAAGGGCAGATATGGAGCTAATTTATGGATCCTTTGATTAATACCTTGTAGTTTTATAACATTGATTTAGTATGTGGTAAGCTCAAGGACAGAGACAAAAATTTTGTTTTCTTTGCATAGAAATAATCATCACCAATTAAGGACATATTATGTGGAAGATATTATTCTGGGCACATTAAATACATTGCTACTTACCTTTATATCACATACTCAAGCTGGTTATTATTCTTTCATTTAACGTTTAAACAAAAACCCAAATAGGACATATACCATGGCTATGTTCACATACTTTGCTCACTTCTCACTGAAAAGAGACTAAGATTTTGTAAAATGTTATATTTTTAAAAAATGATTCCCTATTCAAAAAACATAGGAAACGTTGAAAGCACTATTATTTACTTGATCTTCTGAGTTCTGATCTTCTCTCTCATAGATATGCAATAATCTCCAGCACATTCAATGTACCAACCCAAAGTTTCGAATTTTTTTTAATGTAACACCTATAATATCCCCTGAAACTCTAAAGCTAGCAATTAGAATAACTCATTTTCGGAAATTCTGTGGGTTTTTTTTTCCATTCTTTCTCAAAATTCTGTGATATTGAAAGGGCAGGCTGATATTAAATTAAAAAAAAAATGTAAAACTGAGGGTAAGAAACTTGTGAGACAATGGCAGTCTTTGAATGAAATCCCAGGACTCCAGAGAGCTAGCTTGGAGCTACCTCTGCTTCTTAATGCTTAGCAGCAATATTTATTGAGCGTATAATACACATAAATAAACTTATTTAAAAATGGCCAACTGAAATTTTCTTGCATATTGTGAGAATTTAGGGTAGTAGTGGGGAATTACAAATCAAAGTTTCAAGACATTGCAGTGAGTTTTCTTTCTAAATATGGCCCCCACAATATCTCCCATCCTACATGCTATTCTTTCTTTCTTTTTTTTTTTTGAAACAGATCTTGCTCTGTTGCCCAGGCTGGAGCGCAGTGGCACAACCTTGGCTCGCTGCAACCTCCGCCTCCCAGGTTCAAGCAATTCTCTTGCCTCGGCCTCCCGAGTAGCGGGGATTACAGACATGTACCACCATGCCTGGCTAATTTTTGTATTTTTAGTAGAGATGGGGTTTCACCATGTTGTATAAAACAAGAATATTAAGCCTGGCTAATTTTTTGTATTTTAGCAGAGATGGGGTTTCATCGTGTTGCCCAGGCTAGTCTCGAATTCCTGACCTCAGGTGATCCACTTGGCTTGGTCTCCCAAAGTGCTGGGATTACAGGAGTGAGCCACCATGCTCGGCCTACACACTGTTCTTATAATGTAACGTCAATACTTTTCCTATTGAGCAGTGAGGTCAATGTTTCCTCCCCTTGAATCTGGGTGCGCGTGAGTGTGGCAGAAGTGATGACCTGTGGCTTCTAAGGCTAAGTCATGAAAGGTGATATGAATTCTGCCTGTTGCCATCGAGGTGCTTGCTCTCAGACCCCAGCATCCATGCAGTAAGGAATTCCAGGCCATGTGGAGAGGCCATATGTAGATTTCTGGCCAATATCTCCCAGCTGGCAGCTAGCATCAATCGCCAAACATATGAGCAAGGTATCCTTGGGGATGATGTCAGTCCTAGCCGCCATCTGACTGCAACTGCATGAGGTACCCTGAGCAAGAACTGCCTACTGAGAATAGTCAACCTCCAGAACTGTGAGATAATAATAAAAGCATTGGTATTGTTTTCTACTACTAGGTTTGGGATAGTTTGTTACACAGCAGTAGATAACTAATACAGATATCAAAATGGTAACTAACACAGAGATCAATACAAAGGTTTGCGTAGACCGATGGAGAAAGTACTCTAGTAGGTGCATATAGCATTTAGTACCTTGAGAAATAGAGAAGACATAAATAGATTATAGTGAAATAAGAGGCAGTTTGAAACATTTCCCTTTCATTCTAAAAATGACACATGTTCAGCATAGAAGACATGAAAAATTCAGGGACGTACGCAAAAGAATTTTCTTAAACTTTAAATTAGGACAATATTATAGGTATTAGTTTGTAATGTGTTTTTCTCACTTATAATTTATCTAGTTTTCAATAATTTCTCACCATATGTTTAAAAACATTAAACATATGGTGAGAAATTATTGTTTTTAAACATATTGTAAGAAATTATTAATGTTTTTAAACATATTGAAGAAATTACTGAAAACTAGAGAAATTATAAGTGAGAAAATTATATTACAAACTAGTACCTATTAGTTTAGGTATTCATGTTGAAAACAGGAAGAAACAAACATGTTGTGAGAAATTATTAAAAACTTATAACTTAGTTGTCATGCAATGGCAATTTCATGCTTAATATTCTTGTTTTATAGACTTATTCTTTCAACAAACATTTTCTAAGCCCTTTCCATAGGGAAGGTGAGAATGGACACTAAGCATGTAGGGCTTGAATTTGCTCCTTGTCATCGTGGAGATTTTAGCTACTGGAAGAAATTGGGCATTAAACAGTCAAATGAAACCATAAATATGCAATTACAATGAACAAAAAATATTGAGAAGTGAGTGTACTACATGCTAGGTTGGATAAAGAAAGAGGAAGGCAGAGTGCTAGAAAACGGACGTGAAGGATAAGAACGAATAGCTCTATGAAGTGATGGGGCTCAGAATTTGAGGAAGAGGTAATTGGATTTGTGAAGGCTCTCAAATAGGTCAGTTAAATGGATAGAAGTAAGTGTGCAGAGTACTAGGATGAGGGAAGAAGAGTCGGCAGGGGCCAATTAACAAATCCTCTCTAGTTGGATATTTAGGGTGTTTCTAGTTAACCACAACTATAAACAATGCTGCAGTGAACATTATTATATGTATGTTATACATATATATATATGCATATATATGTGGTTTTTTTTTCATTTCGTGTGTGTTTTTCATTTGTTTTATTTTTTTGAGATGGAGTCTCTGTCGCCCAGGCTAGGGTGCAGTGACACAATCTCGGATCACTGCAACCTCTGCCTCCTGGGTACAAGCGATTATCCTGCCTCAGCCTCCCAAGTAGCTGGGATTACAGGTGCCCACCACCATGCCCAGCTAATTTTTGTAATTTTAGTAGAGACCAGGTTTCACTATGTTGGCCAGGCTGGTCTTGAACTCCTGACATCAAGTGATCTGCCTGCCTCGGCCTCCCAAAGTGCTGGGATTACAGGCTTGAGCCACCGTGCCTGGGCTGCTATGTATGTATCTTCTGCATATCTCTTATTTTTATAGAATAAATTATCTCAAGTAAAATAGATGGGCCAGAGTTTGCCCTTTTTAAGGTTGTGATACACAGGGTCCTACATAACTGTTATCCAGATTTAGCTTTAGCCTTCTTCCTTCACTAGCTCCCTTCCTCTTTCCCTCTCTTCCTTCTTTCTTGTTTTTCCTTTCTTGCTCTTTTCTCTTTCTTCCTCTTCCTCCTCTCCATCTTTATTTCATCTTTTTCATTATTTTAATATGAAAATATTTCATATTTTAATCAGAAGATTAAATTTAATAAATGTAATAGGAAGAAATTAGCTTTGTTTTGCAGACATGACAATATTGGTATCCTTAAAGTTTCCTTCTTTAAAATACCAGTCCCATATTGAACATATATGAAATGTGTCTACTGATGTCCTTGACCCTTTCTCTTACATTTCTTTATTTTCACTTTTATTTCTCCTGACTTATTTCCCATTGACAATGAAGCGTGGGTGCCTTTGAAAACAGACATCTTGGGGACCTTGGTGGTTGTATGTCTTCAACGGCCCATACATGGTCTTGGATTGTGCTATTTTAACTGATCCCTAGAGGCTAATGCTTTTCTAAGCCACACACACATTTTTGGAAGATCACTGGACAATCCTGCCTGTGCATAAAATATATAAAGGCATCTTAGAGACCCCACAAGAATATTTACTAAAACCCCAGACAGACACATTTCAAGGAGATGGGAGTGAGGAACAGGAGGTTTTAGAATTACTATTGACCTGTAGGTATGTTTGCAAAATTGTCTGCTATCTCCCTAAGCTTCCCGTCAAACAAATAATTGCCTTCCACAATGAAGGGGCTAAACATATTCACATTGGGAGTGTTTGCAGGTGAAACAAGCAATCCTTGGAAGGGAAAAGACAAACTTAGAGAATGTTTGCTGAAATGTTTGGGAAGCATTTGCCATTGTAGGCAAATTCAGTGTCTGACCTGTATTATTGATTCTTGTGAGCAAATTTGGGAGGGGTAGAGGGTTTTATATCTAAGTCAGAGAAACAAAGATTTGTGGTCTGTTGGGTGCTGCATACATGGAACAGATTCCTTCAAAATTATTTAATTCTGGGTAGTTTTTCTTCTTTAAATAAACAAAGGAGTTCTATGTCAATGTGAAAACACCCATGTTTGCTATGATGATAGAGTGAGATTCACTAATAGTGTTTTCATTTGATAAAAAGTTGATGTAATTCTTAGGACAGGAGTGAAAAAGCTTAAGAAATATGATGACCTGTTCTTTACTTAAAATTTAGCCCAGTGATAAATCGTGTGGGTCTGTACTGTCCCAGGCCTAATAAAGGATTAGAAATTGGGGACCTGTCCTCAAGACACTTTACTGCCATCTGCCGGAAAATCTTCATACTAAAACTACAAATCACTGGTGATCATGCCACGGAAGGCGCCCTCTATGGTTGTGCAAGGTATAACTTGCACGATCACACAGTGACCCTCTAGGGGATATTACCAGGCATAATTAAAACATCTGGTAGAGGTTGACACTTAAGACATAGTCAGTGACCTTAAGGCTTTCTATTAGAATGAATTTTGAACTGAGAGGTTTGGATTTCCCCACTGATCCAGGCTGTAGGTAACATTATTCCATTTTGTGAGGTGCTGATGATTTGAGATGAATTGCACACAGTTTTTCCATATTCAAATATTGACTTATACGAAAGTTGCTGTGGGAAGGAGAAAAGGATCATGGAGGGTTGGGGTGGGGGTCGTCTTTGTCAACACCCCTGCAGAAATCTTGGTTTGTGCTGGCCAACATCTGTGCTAATATATAAACTGGAGTTGTTGGCAGCAGGATGGGAAATCTCCAGGAAGACAGCCTCTGCTAACCTTTTTATTTTCCTTTATTAAATGCTAGGCTGGAGGTAACCACATAGATCTGAAAATGCCGCCTGGTTTAATTAGCCAAGACTTTCAGGAAGACAAGTAACAAATGACAACTTAATTAAACACAATTAAAACATTTTAGAACTTCTTGAGGCCTCTTTCAATAGGGCAGTGATTGCAGCATGAGAGGAGGCCATGGAAAGAAAGGCAAGGTGCTTTCATTTTCCTTTTCCTTACTTTTTTGGTCACAGCTCCTTTTTTCTCTTCACTATTAGAAATGCAGCTGGATCCTATTTATAATCCATTTTCACATTTGTTTGAATTAAAATCCCAGATTGTTGTGCTTTCAAGGTTGAATGTGCATGGCAGCCAACATTTATCCAGCCATTTCAGGAGTTACTGGGTAACTGGGCTCCAGGAAGGGAAACCACACCATGCGTTTGAGCCACAGGGAGGAGAGAGAGAAAACAGACTCACACCTAAAACCTCTGACATCACTGTTGTTTGGAGAGAGATTGTTCTGCTCTGAACATGTGCTCCCTACTTAAGACTCTAATTACTCTAAATTACTTAAATGGGCCCTAATACCTACGTTTTATTATTTGATATTAAAGAACAAGCCATTTTATGAAGAAATTCATGAAGCAATCAAAATATTGGCAACCCATTCTCCCAGTAGAAAGCCTGGACTTGGAAATACCTATGCTTTCTACCCTACCACCTGAATTCTAATCTGAGAGCTGCCGTGTGCTCTCCCCCAGCCTTTTCCAGTATCCTGTTTATGTCTAAATCCAATAGTCCAGCCATGCCAGCTTGTTACCACATGGAAAACTCCACTGCTCAGAGAAAGTTATGAATCCCTATATTCTTTATGCTTTAAGATTCACTATGACATCTCAAAGTAATTGGCCAGGTAAACCTACCAGATGGTTTTTGGGGGATGAGGAATAGACTAATAATTTCCATTAGCATAATATTGTTATTATAAAGATTTAATGACTTCACTGATGTGGTGTCCTGTCCTGGTGGAAAGTTTATGAGCCAGAAATAAAATAATACTTATGGGTACCCATGAGGCTATTTGAAAGAAGTAGTAGAGAGGTTAATGAGATCTCAGGTCCCTAAGGCTCCTAACAGAATGTTCCTATTTGAGCTGAGCTAAGTGATATGAGAAGCACAAGGCAGGCTGCACAGGGGGCAAGGGAAGCTCAATGCCAGTCGTGCGTCTGCTGCAACATTGCAAATTGGAATGAGGGCTCTGATCTGGCTTTGGACTGCCTGGATTTCATTCCTGGCCCCATTGTGCACTGATGTGAACACCTTGGGCTTGTTACTTAAGCAATTTGTGCTGCAGGTTTTCATCTACAAAATGGATCTAATAGCAGTATGTAATCAGTGGTTGTCTTGAGGAATGAGGCGATCCTCACAAAAGTCTTAGGGCAGTACCAAGGACATAGTAAACATGTACTGCATATTCACCGTTATTATTTTTACTAGTTGCAAATCATCAGCCTGTGCTGAACCTTAATTTCCTAATCAGTCAAGTCAAAGAGGTTGGCCTAATTCTGAAATTCTGTGATTCTATAAGCCAGAATCCTGATATAATTAAAAACTATTCTGTTTTGAAATTTGAATGTGGGCTCTGTTCTTTGCGACCCATCACCAGACTTTGGAAACAAAGTGTATTGTACAACAAGTGTTAACTATTAGAATCAGAGTTCTGGGGAAGGGCCGTTGAGTGAGGAAGAGGCTCCTACCTTGCAGACAGAAGGAATGGTGATAGTCATAACTTGTACTTGTGGTAACTTGTTTGGGAGGTCATTAGTCTCCTTTGTCTAGGGGTCATGGAGAGGAGAAAACGTGGTTATTTTCTATAGGGGCTTAGAAATGGATTATTGAGACTGGTCATCCTTAGTTATCAGATGCAAGAACATATCCTTCTCCTCTGACAAGGAAGTATCTTCCTCCATTTTCCTCTCTTTTTACAGAAAAGGAGAGGATACTTTTGGAAATACAGGGCAATGAATCAGGTGGTTGCTGCTTCTAGCTGGGATAAGTCTTGTATTTCCAGCCCTACCAGTTGCCTGTGTCTAGTAGCAAAAATAATACATGCCCCTTGGTTTTACAAGAATTATTTTGGTTTCTAGTTGTCTGACCGTAATCAGGCAATGTAGTTGAACATGCTCTGGGAATATGATCGAATAATCCATTAGGCCATTGACTTCTCTGTCTTGTATACACAGAGCAATTGCTCTTTTCTCCTGTAAGGAAGACAATGTGTCCTTCTTTTTCTTCCCATGTGGCTTCAATACAAAAGTTATCTGTCCCTTTAGTTATAGTTACCTTGGTGAAAAACATGAATGTTCTTGAGCTTTGCATTAGATCAGCCATATTGAGGAAAACTTTGACCTTCAAATCTTTACACTGTTGAAACAGATGAAGCCAAGCTCCCTTTGCAAAACCATTTTTTGTTTTGAGGTAAAAACACAGTTGATTTTGGCTGGGTGTGGTGGCTCATGCCTGTAATCCCAGCACTTTGGGAGGCCAAGATGGGTGGATCACAAGGTCAGGAAATCGAGACCATCCTGGCTAACACAGTGAAACCCCATCTCTACTAAAAATACAAAAAATTAACCGGGCATGGTGGCAGGCGCCTGTAGTCCCAGCGACTGACTCGGGAAGTTGAGGCAGGAGAATGGCGTGAACCTCCTCTGCCAAAAATGCCCTTCTCCTCTTGCCATATGTCTTGAGTGTGTAGGGACATGGTGTGCCCATAGATAACCCAGGAAGAACTTCCCTCCAAAATCCAAATTCCTAGGAAAGCAACACATTAATAAATGAAGGCAAAGGTCATTAAAGTTTCTTTTAAGCACATTGCCTGGTTTCCTTGAGGGGCAATGTTGATTTATTTTTCTTATTTTATTTATAAGAAAGCAAATAATTTATGTGGATAACTTACATATCTTTAAACCACCCGACTTTGTATAAATAGCGTTTCTGTCTTTAGCTGCAGGTGCAGGACTCGGGAATCTCCTCTTTTGAGTACCCATTGATTGGCATTTCAGTATTTGCAGTTAGTCCATGTGGTTCCATTGAGGTTAAACACTCAGCCCCATGAAATTCAAGCAGTTCATTTCCTATTCAAACAAGTTAAATGCAAGAGAGAAAATGAAGATAAATTCCTCAATGGACCAAGATAAGCTGGCTGGGTGAGGAGAAAGATAATTAATCAATCTTAAGCCAGCTCTGATTCTTCTAGGTTTTATCTTTGCAGCTTTTGGTGGTGACCTTCTATCTCTGAATCTGACTGATTTCTATCTTGCTTTTACACCTAAGGCATTTCAGTAACAAGGTCGAAGGGGGTTGGAAGTTGCTCCCAAATAGTCCTTCTATTGAGTGGATTCCCCTGGGTATGAGGGGAGGCAGGGAAAGATATGTAGCAGGGATGACCTTAGAGAGAAGCAGGATGGGGTTCTCTTTGTATGAAACACCAACAATACAAATAATTTCTTACGGAAAACTTATTAGGAACCAAACTTGAGGTCAACTGGCTCCTTGCTAATCAAAGCGTGTTTGTAAACCGGTGGCATTGATATCATCTCCTGGAAGCTTGTTAGACAAGCAGAGTCTCAGGCCCTGCCCTCCACCTCCTGAATGAGAATCTGTATTTTCCAAGATCCCCACATGATCTATAATGCACCTGGAAGTTTGATTCTTCTTGAGTCATCGTTGGCTGATGGCCACAGTATTTAATATTTGCTGGTCCTCAGACCCTTGATACAAAATTTTGGCATTTGAGGAAAGAGTAGACTATATTAAATAGCTGATTATAGCAAAAAAACTATTAGTGGTAGAATTGGGAAAGGTAATTTTTATTCCCCCATCTGTCTCTAATCAGCTAGACGGCCTTGAGAAAGTCATTTCACCTGTCTAGGTCTCAGGGTATTGGTACTGATAACTTCTAATGATTCTGACTACGATATTTAATGGTTGTGTGAATATAGGACTCTTGATATATGGAACGAGAAAAGTTCACTTAAGAATTCGTTGCACCAAACACTTAGATCAATACTGCATATATAGGGTGAGAATTCTTTCTGTCCATACATTTCAATTTCATAGCTCCCTCCTCTTTCATGTTGCACAACCAAATCATCAAGCCCATGGTGGGGCTGCTTGGTTGATTTGTAAAAACCGTTAAAATGGTTGCAGAAATGAAAACTGCAGCCAAATAGCGTGTAGTCCCTCAAAATGTGACTCAAGAACAAAAAAGTAAAAATGGTTTTGTTTCCAAAAGGGCTGTTGAAACATACAGGTGAACATGTTAAAAACATGGCTGGACCATCAAATACTTATGGCTAGATGCTCCAGTGCTTCCAGAACCTGAGACTTGAGTTTCAGCTGGATCTTTCATATACTTTATATAATGTAAACTATAATAAGGCATAAGGTTCCATGTTTTCAGCTATGGAAATATAGGCAAGAATATATTTATATATGTATATATATACACACATATGTATGTATACATACACAATAATGATATATATAATCTACATATACATATCATACATTTTTCTCAAATTTCAAAACACGATTACATCTTATTCAAATGATTCTCAGGAGAATTATTTTTTGCTTGTTAAAGTTCATGTTATCTATAACCCAATTAAAAGTTTATCGATGAAAACTTTCCCAAACCTATTGAGATTTGGTCATTTGCCTCTAAGATAGCATTTATGTTAGTTTGATTAGCATCATAATGAGTCATTTATCAACTATCTTACTCATTGGGTTGTAAATTCTTCAAATGCAGGAAAATTGATTATTAATATTTGCCCTATGAGTGGCTACAGTAGTTCCTGACACATTGCAAGTATATGGCAAGTATTTATTAAATTAAATTGAGTTAGTATTACAGAATATCTTGACTCCTATTGTTGTTTTAATTAATTTTTAAACATTTCCAAATTTTTTATTTATGAAACTAAGGCCAAACTACATTTTAGAATAATGACAATAGGATAGGATCTAGAAGATTCAGAAGGAGTGCAAATCTCTGAAAACAATCTACTGCATGTACTGGAGAAAATTTCAGGAAATTTTTATTCGTTGTACAATTTAAGAAGACACAATTTCCACAAAGCTGGGACATAGCTTGATAATGAAAAGACAATGGTTGCAAGGAAAAGAAGGTACAATAAGATAAAATTACAAGGAAAATCAAACAACTAACCAAGCTTCAACATTAGAAATAAATATTTGCTCCTGTAGGGCAAGTGGTGCTAAGAAATATCTCTAAACTAGAGAACAAATTTGGGAAACACTCTCAGAAGTCAGAGGAAAAGCCAACAAATTAAAGATGATGAGAAAGTAAGTGATCAATAAGGAGACTAGTGAATAGAGGGATGACTTCAGAAAAACTCTCACTTTCCAAATGAGCCATTGGGAAAAATAGATCAATAGCAATTTATCAAAAAGATGTTAACTGAGGACTGAGGTTTGCAGAATTATAGAAAGCATCATTTTCCTTCTCGTGAGCAACTATCATGTTATAGTCAAAACTGGCACATAGGGCTTATACGTAGCCTCATCTGGGCAAATGTTTCAAAGTGAAAGGACTTTAATTCTGCAAGTATCCAGACATGGAAGAAGTGTAAAAGGCTAGCAGACAAAATCATAAAACTCAGGGTGGCCTCTGGCATCTTATTGATACAAACATTTTCTAAAGATAATTGCATGCGGGCAATGGATAGCTTATAAATGAAGAAAATCAAGTTATGAAAATGGATTTATCATTACTTCAAAATAATGAAAGAACTTAAAATAAGTAAAATGTAATCACGAAACTATTACGTATTATGGAAGAGAGAAAAACAATGTTGAGATTTGCGAAGTCTGTGATAGCATTAACAACGTTTATGTAAAAGTTAAAAACATAAAATAAAATATATGCTTTAACACTCATATACATGAGGTAAAAATTTTAAAAACATATATCAAATGCAGATTAATTTGTAAAAATGCTTGCACATGGAGAAGAACGAGAGTTAGGGCAAAGAATATAGAAGACGGTGTTTGACTGCTCTGTTTTATTTTAAACACACCTAAAGCACATTTGAACGAATTTTGTTCATTTTTGGATGGCAGATAAACAGTGTTTGTAATGCTAGCCTTTGCAATTTTCTATACTTGTTCTTAGTTTTAAAAAGAAAAGCAATTATGACAAAATTGAGACATCAGTTACCACATCTCAAATTAACAGTATAGGTGTGTGTAAACATGTATATATATGTGTGTGGCTTGTATATGTCTGTGTGTATATTTGTGAATGTATGTATAAATAGATGCATATCTATATACACATACATGTATACACACATATATACATATATACACACATATACATAGTCGAACACACACACACACATATATGGATGACATATTGATAAGGGTTAGGTTAAGAAAGCTTTGCTGTCCTTCACTTTAAGTGAGGTCTATACTGTCAGACATAATATCAAAAATCTTAATTCCCATTTGGAAATTTGCCTTTTGATCTAGTGATAAACTCCACTAGGACTTTATCCTAAGGAAATAATAAACATTTAGCAGAAACAAAATGTACCACTGTATTTATTTAATAATTCTTGTATCCATTTATGAAATATTTATCAAGCACCTACTATGTTCACGGAATTGTCTCAAATATTCAAAATCTCAGCCTGCTGAAAGTTCATGGCATATTTCTAGCAATGAAAAATTTGAATTAAAGATCACAGAAATACCTAACAAGGATTGATTAGTTTATTATAATTGTGTTTATATATTAGAAAACAATTTTTCCATTTAAAATAATTTTATAAATTTTAAAATATATTTATAACTTTTTAAGTAACATATAACTTACATAAAATAATTTACATGCTATGACCATACTTGTAAATTAATATGCTTACAAAACTGCTTTAAAAGATGTTATTTATTTTGGGATGTTGTGGGATGTTGTAAAATATTTAGGCTTTGCTTCTATCTATGTTTTCTATTTTATCACTAATAAACATATATATCATGACAATAAATATAATGTTTTCAAAATTAAAAACAAATGTAGAATATAATTTTTATAGGATAATATCTGTAATACATAAAATCTACATTTAACTTTTAAATAATAAATTAAAACCTTTGGAATCAATTTCCAGAAAAATACTGAAATTAATATTGCCATACCCATTACATATTTACTTTATTTTAACATTTTTGAATGGTACACATCCTTTGACCCAGCAAGTACATCTCTAAGGATTTAATTAATAGATACACTTACACATGCACACAATGTTCATTTCAGCATTGTTTGAAATAGCACAACTAAAAACAATGGAAATAACTATCAATTAAAGGATGAAGTACAATCCACATAATAGGATGTTTTACAGCAATACAGATAATGAGGCAGCTCCCCATAAACTGATATGAAAATGGAAAAAAAGATACAGAATAATAAGTTCATTATAATATATTTTACTAATTAATTTGTACATATATAAATATAAAGCATTAATAAGAATCTGACGTTTTTATTTTTTTTTGGCGGGGGAGAACAGAGCCTCGCTCTGTTAGCCAGGCTAAAGTACAGTGGCTCAATCTCGGCTCACTGCAACCTCTACTTCCCGGGTTCATGCAGTGCTCCTGCCTCAGCCTCCTGAGTAGGTGGAACTACAGGGGTGCACCACCAAGCCTGGCTAATTTTTGTATTTTTAATAGAGACAGGGTTTCACCATGTTTGCCAGGCGTGTTTCGAACTCTCGGCCTCAAGCGATCCACCCTTCTCTGCCTCCCAACGTGCTGGGATTACAGGCGTGAGCCACCGTGCTTGGCCATATGATTATTTTTGGTGAGGGTAAGATTTTATACTTTTCATTTTATATCATGTAATACTGTTAAGTTTCGTTTTTGTTTTCAGGTTTTATGATTGAAAACTTTACATATATATTTCAAAAATAATCTGAAATAAAATGTTCTATTAGTCTTTCTCTTTGTATGTATTGATGACAGTATACACATATATTTCATCTTAAATTATAAATAGTCATAAAACTCCATTCAAATCTATTTTGTAATAACCACTTTCACTAAGTATAATACCATTTTGAGACAGCAATGGGACAACAGTCATCTTAAAGATATTTTACTCTCTTTCTTTCTGAAAACACAATGATAGAAAGTATTTGCACATTTGAACTATAGTCTATGGGCATCTTTATTTCCTTTGCATATCTTTGAGATGACTGTATTTACTTTCTGAAGAACTCATTTATTCAACAATTTGATACAAAATTATCAGAACTTAATTTTGTGTACATCACTGTTTAGCAAGTTCTTGTACACAGCAGAGTGTGCGATCTAGAAATCTTTGGGCCATATGTAGCTTACTGATGGCTCAACTTTTTGGCTCAGAACACTGCTGAAAAGAAAAGTAAAGGAAAATGTAATTCTTGCCAGGTGCCGTGGCTCACGCCTTTAATCCCAGCACTTTGGGAGGCCAAGACGGGTGGATCACTGGAGGTCAAGAGTTCGAGACCAGCCTGGCCAGCTGAAACCCTGTCTCCACTAAAAATACAAAAAATTAGCGAGGCGTGGCGATGGGTGCCTATAATCCCAGCTACTCGGGAGGCTGAGGCAGGAGAATCACTTGAGCCTGGGAGGCGGAGGTTGCAGTGAGCCAAGATCATGCCTTTGCACTCCAGCCTGGGCAACAAGAGCGAAACTCAAGAAAGAAAAAAAGAAAAGAAAAGAAGAAAAGGAAAGAGAGAAAAGAGAGAAAAGAAAAGGAAAGAAAGAAAATGTAACTCTTTGCTAACGAACTAGCATTTTAAAATTGGAAGATTTCTCATAGAACTCGCATGTTTTGTCTCACCCACCTCGAAAAAATCAGATCTTAAATTTGACCTGCATTCCCACTGAGAAACTCTCGCTAGAACTAAAGAGCAACTGTTTCCTTTAGTTCGGGCAGGCCGAAAACTCCCCTATCTTTCGTAGTCCCCACCAGTCCGGAATTAGTTACACCCTGTTTGTGTGGCCTTATTTGTTCTACATGCATCCCAAGTTTATTGCCCACGAATTAAAAGAAGAATATGGGCAGAAGGGAAAAATAGCTCCATGAGGAATTAAAACATACTAGAAAGCTCGAAACAATTATGATAGTGTGGTATTGAACCACAGATAGACAAATTGACCAATGGACTAAAAGAGAAAGCACGAAATAGAAACAAGTACATATGGAAATTTAGCATGTGATAAAAGTACTGTCTTAAACCACTGAGAAGAAAAGCAGCAACTTTTACATATATGATGCAGGGACAATGCATTAGCCATTTGTAAAAAGAAAAATTATATTCAAACCTCACGCTGTAAGAATAAACTTCAAATGGCTTACATATCTAAACACAAAATAATGAAACCACACATGGACTAGAAGAAAACATGAATGGATTTCTCCAACCTCTAGGGTAGTCTAGGGAAAGACTTTCTAATCATGGCTCAAAATCTAGAGGTAAGGAAAGAGAAGATTGATAAATTTCAGTGCATAAAACATGCATTAAAAATTATAGCCGGGCACTGTGGCTCACGCCTGTAATCCTAGCACTTTGTGGGAGGCCGAGGAAGGTGGATCACTTGAGGCCGGGAGTTCAAAACCAGCCTGGCCAACATGGTGAAACCCCTTCTCTAGTAAAAATACAAAAAAATTAGCTGGGCATGGTGGCGGGTGCCTGTAATCCCAGCTACTTGGGAGGCTGAGGTAGGAGAATTGTTTGAACCTGGGAGGCGGAGGCTGCAGTGAGCCAAGATCGCCCCACTGTACTCCAGCCTGGGTGACAGAGCGAAACTCCATGTCAAAAAAAAAAAAAAATTATAAACAAGTCAGAAGATGAGTAAAAGCTGGAGGAAAATACTCATGAGTTCATGATACATACCACAGACATAGTTAATATCACCAATATCAGAGAAATATTATAAATTATGGAGCAGAGTTCTAAAAACCTGATAGAAAAATGGCAATAGATACAAACAGGTAATTCACAATAAAGAAAATAAAAATAGCCTTTAAAATATTAAAAAAGCTCACATCTATTCATAATTAGAAAATCACAAATTAAAATTATGCTTTTTCCCATCTATTGGATTGACGAAAATTTCAAAATAGGACAACACATTCCGTTGGCAAGGCTCTGGGGAAATAGCCACCCCTTACATTGCTGGTAGCAATGCAAATTAGAGGGACCTTCTGGAAGGAAACTTGGCAATATCTAAGAAAACTGCATGAACCCTTATCTCTTCACCCAGCAATCCTACCTCTAGGAGTCTATCCTGAAGATACATTTCCAATAATACAAAAATAATTGCAGGGAAGATTGTTCACTGCTGCATTGTTTGTGATTTAAAAATATTAGAAATGGCTGGGTGTGGTGGCTCACACCTGTAATCCCAGCACTTTGGGAGGCCAATGTGGGCAGATCACCTGAGGTCAGGAGTTCAAGACCAGCCTGCCCAACATGGAGAAACACCGTCTCTAATAAAAATACAAAAAAAAAAAAAAAAAAATGAGCCGGGTGTGGTGGTGGACACCTGTAATCCCAGGTACTCAGGAGGCTGAGGCAGGAGAATCGCTTGATTCTGAGAGGCGGAGGTTGCAGTGATCCAAGGCCGTGCCACTGCACTCCAGCCTGAGCGACAAGAGTGAAACTTCGTCTCAAAAAAAAAAAAAAATTACAAACAACCTAAATGCTCATGTACAGTAGTTGAAGAAATGGTGGTGCAGCCCCACAGTGAAGTCCTGCTGTGCAGCTGTGTTGCTGAATGAGGATGGTTTCTAAAAATGGATATGTGGTGACATCCAGGAAACACTGTTAAGTGAAAAAGACAAAGCATTAAGGATGCCTGTAGTGTGCTACACTTCATGTAAGAAACAAGAGGATATTGTAAAATATGCATGTGTCTGCTGATTTGTGTCAAAAAGTGATACAGGAAGGATAAACCAGAAAATAAAAAGGCTGGTTGGTTATGTATGGGGTGTGTGTGTGTGTGTGTGTCTGTGTGTGTCTGTGTGTGTCTGTGTGTTCTGGAATACAAACAATAACAAATGAATGCATAATCACAGAGAAGAAAGGGAGAAGAAATGAGCTGAGTAGCTTTAAAATGACAATATTTAGTCTGCAAAGTTAAGGTAAAAGACAAAAAGCACTATCTACGAATATTCTTCTCTACTTAATAAATTTGTTTCTGACATATGTATAGGTTAGCAGCTCTGGAACTACTTTATATGTATACTAGGATTGAACAAATGAGTAAATATATTGTGGATACTGAGAGCTGGGTTTCTCCCTATCAGAGAAACAAAATACACACAAGGAAAGAGGGAAGGCTGTGGTGCTGGATTGAAGTTATAGGATCAGTATGAATTTATGTTTGTTTATATATACTCACACACATACACATATGCACACAAACAGGTGGATAGATAAATAAATATACATGTTTGTGTATGTGCGGGTACATATACAGATGACTTTTTACCTTTAACTGCTGCAAGGGCCTAGAGGCAATGGCACTTGGGCAGCAATCAGCATGCCTTCCATCAAGATCTTAGTTTCTAAATATTATTCTCCAATAAAAAAGATAGACTCCTTGGTTAATTTCAGGGATAGGGTAGAGAAAATACCAGATGAATGTGGAACTTCTCTTGGTGACAGAAAGTTAGAAAGTGCTTTTTATTAAAGAAAGAAAAAAAAAAAGGCCGCTTGTAAAAGGACACAGAATCTACCCAGTAGGAGTTCTCAGCAAAAACTGGCACTAGTATGAGCCCAAAACATGATATATTAAGTTATAACACACAGAACAAAACAAGTATCCATGGAAGTAACACAAATAAATAGCCAAATAATAAAAAAGGAGAAAGGACAGCTCTTTTTTACTGTAGAATTTCTATCACTAGGCTGGGTGTGGTGGCTCACACCTGTAATCCCAGCACTTTGGGAGGCCGAGACAGTCAGATCATGTGAGGTCAAGAGTTCCAGACCAGCCTGACCAACATGGCGAAACTTCGTCTCTACTAAAAATACAAAAATTAGCTGGGTGTGGTGGCTCACTTCTGTAATCCCAGCTACTCGGGAGGCTGAGGCAGGAGAATCCCTTGAACCAAGAGGCGGAGGTTGCAGTGAGCCGAGATCATGCCACTGGACTCCAGCCTGGGCGACAAGAGTGAAACTCTGTCTTAAAAAAAAAGAATTTAAACCACCAAATACCAAATATAGAGGGAATGAAAAAAATTAAAAAGTCATCATCAAGCAATCACAAATAATAATTATCTCAGGCAAGAACCATTGATGGATGCTAAGATGTATGGAGGAAAAAGGACTAGAAACAAGATAGTTGCATAGTCTCAAAGTATCTGCCCACAAGATACTTATTAATTATAAAGGAAAAAGGAGTAATTTTAGAGCAGAGAAATCCAGTAGACACCATAGTAAAACAAAATGATCCAGGTTTACATCACCAGTCATAAGATGTGTTGACATCACCTACCTCTAGTATGAAGCACAGAGAAGGGCACCATATCACATTTGTGCTATTCTTGACAAAAGTGCATAACAGCAGTCTAATCACAGGGAAAACAAAATAAAACCAAACCTAAAGATAAACTATAAAATAATTACTTAAAAACACCAAAAATCATAAAAAATAAGGAAAGATGGAGCAACTGGCACAAACCTGAAAATATGAAGGAGACATGAAGAACCTTAGCGGAAAACTGGGGAAATTTGAATAAATTCTTCTAATTAGTTAATATTTTTAACCATATCAATTTCCTTATTTTGATGATTAAATTCTAAAGTTATAAATTGTTCAAGATTTAGGAAATCTGTATGAATGGTATGTAAGAACTATCTGTACTATTTTTGTAACTTTTAAATTATTGAAATTAAATATTTGAAATAATAAAATTATTTCAAAATAAAAAGTAGGAAATCATACTTAAATCAATCAGACTCTTGGAAGTTGGTCTTAGAATAAGCTGAAAAATGTTGGGAAAGGAATTACTGAAGAGAAATGATAATAATAGGAAGTCAGAAAAAATTGTATAGTTAGCATTTTTTAAAAATGTAAAAATTGAAATGATGTTTCAAATCTTAGGGGACAATAATTGATATACTTAAATGAAAACAGGTGGACAAAGAGAAAGACAAAATACTAAAATACCCAGCACTCAATTTGAAAAGATATAAAAAGTATGTGTAAGTGTGACTGATTTGAAAGATCAAGTTCAGCTGGGCTAAATAAATTCGTTTCTATATTTTCCAAAATGCAATCTTATCTCTCTTATTGAAGTAAACCTAAAGCTAAATAAAAATAAAGACGAGTGTGTGTTTGATAAAATTCCAGAAAGGTTGCTGGAGCCCAGAAACCATGTGATATTCTAAAGATGTCAGAATTTGGCCCTCAAGGATGGCAGTTGGTTATGAATGTCAACCTTTAACTCTGGGGCTATCACTAGATCCCCAAGTAAGATTTTGCTGTTTAAAATTTTTTCATTCTTCTGTTGCCTCCCAATTGTATGGGCAAAGCAGGTTTTATCACACTTTGTAAGTTCATCACATGTAATTTTATTTCTGCCACGCTAGATTAAATTTAAGGGTCACTGAAGTCAGGAGCCACTGACCTTTGCCCTGTTAATGGTTCTCACCATTAATACTTGACCCTAAAAGCTATGTATACAATAAACCATATTTATAGGGTGGAGGGAAGGGAAGAGCAGAAACAAAGTGAATGGAGTGATTATTTGTTTTGCCATGCTGTGCAGAGATTAGGAATGTTCACACAGTCTATACGGATGGCCTGGGACTGGCTGCCTTTTATGGTGTCTGAACAAAACATGAGGATGGAATCACATGTGAGGGTAATACTCACAATGAGATCCTAGCGTATCTCAATTGCTCCGGTATTGCTGACACTTCACCTTCATCACGCTTTAACCAGAGCTCTTGTACTCTGGTTTTCTTTGGCTGTAAAAGAAGAAAAATAAAGGACACATATTATATTTAAGATTATCCTTGGCAGAAGGGAAAAAAATCGTCAAACAATTTATGTTCAGCAATTAGAATTGTGAAAGCTCTGAGAAACTGATTTTGGGATTTTGTGAAATCTCTTTCATTACTCCACCTGATTGAAAGAGAACCAACAGAAAAGTCTTTATGAATTATTATCTCCAGCATTCTGTTCCTGTAAACTTTACAGGCTTTTGTACACTCAGTTACTTCTGGGGTTAGTTTTCTCTTCCTTAACATTTGGGCAAAATGAGTGAATTTGTTTGCTGCTTTTGCTTTCTTTCTTTTACTTTTTAACGTGTCCAGTATCCAGAATGTTTAATTATTTGCACAATCAATTAAAAGCCATTTGTTTTTTATTGGTAAGCAACAGCATCTAGGCTGGAGAAAGGGATTCACTTCCTGGGAACAGGGCTTTCAGGTCATTCTGTCTGCCCATCAATTCTTGGATTAACAGGAAACATTGCTTTCAATGACCCATGTGTATGTGTGCATGTGTGTGTACGTGCACATGTGAAATAGTGCAATATTAAGAGTTGCTAAAATACACATGCAAATATTGCAAAAGAGCCCCAAGTTTATTATTGATTTTCTCACAGGAAGAACCATTATAACTTTTTAGGGAGTAACTAGGCAAAATCTTTTCTGAAGCTTAGGATATAATTATTTTGGCAATATATAGCCATCCCAAAAAAATGCCTAGTGATTAAGGCAAAGAAATTCTCTTGGTCACAGATTGAGGGAGAGTCTTGGGCTTATAAAATATTCTATTTCCTCCATTAATTGTGTCCATGTGGAGTTGTAACCAAGTAGCTGAAACAAATAAAACTTGAGTAATATTGTTTCCTTTTAAAATATTTTACTTAATGTGTGGAAGAGGTTTGAACTCATTAAACATGCACTGTTCCTTTTGCTCAAACCCCCAACCCCACCCCCCCTCAAAGAATACCCCTACTCCAAGTCAGTCCTCCTGAAACGTTCCAGCAATGCCTATAGCACCACTGTCTCCCCTTCCCTGGGAGGCAGGCTCCTTTAGCCACTCTCTAATTTGAGGTGTACGTGGAAAGGAAAGCAGAGAATGTAGTTAGCCTGGGGCCCTGCAAACCTCTTCTCTTTGACTTGGCCTGGAACTGAAGCTAAATAGTCCATTTTGTTTTACTGTAGTTTCCATGATAATTCTAATTTGTTATACTTCTGAAAACTTTGGTGAGAATTCCTGGTATTTTAAGAAGGATTCTTCTTGTGAAAGAATGAGGTGGTTTTATGAGAGAGGGTACATTTTCCCTACGCACTGAAGCTGGGAGTCAGTGGATTTGGACAGGAATAGCCAGGTGGCAAAAAGAAAGGAGAAACTGGAAAGAGAGAATGTGTGTGTGAGTGGAGAGTTGAACTTCTTTTTCTTGTGCTGGCTTATCACATCTGTCCATTCCTCAGGCTGCAAAACTCACCAGAGTTAACAGAGAAGCCTTCTCTTAGGCAAGTTCCCTCAAGTTACGTAAGATAGAGCAAAGCTTTTTATTTACTTCCCCCTGTTCTTTCCCTTATTGTGAAAGAAGCTACAGGAATGGATAGTTCTTATTCTCCTTAATGTAGACACAAAAAGCCATGGGGAGATAGAACAGGATTTAGACCATTTTTAGTAAATTATTTTCTCCCATGATTGTCTACATATACAGTCAAGAATATCTGGGGTATTTGGGCAATGATATTTAGAGAAAGCAAGCTAAGAAATCTGCATATGACAGAATTACCTTTGGATCTTATAAATTCTAAATGGGGATTGTTTTAAAACATATTCCTTAAATATCAACAGACGTATTTTGAGATCCTCGAAATATCAACATAGTGATGGGTTCATTCATCTTTTCCTTCAGTGCGTGGTGGGTGGGTGAGATCATTCCCCTGCTAGTCTTCTCTTTTAGGGATCAACACATCAAGGGCTTCCTCCAAACACCTTCTGCAGAGAGTCAGGGCTTTGAATTTAATGAGTCAGACTTTTCCTGTTAGGCTGAGTCAAACTTTATTTTCGTCTGTCACCACTGGGAAGTGTAGAGCTATGATACAGTCCTTCAGGTTTACCTCTTCGAGTTTAAGGATGCATGAAAAATGAGAAAGGCTATTAACTTTCAATATGATTCATTTCTGGATGCTTTTCAATCTCTCTCTCTCTCTCTCTTTTCCTCTCTTTTCATGTACTGTGGGGGAAGAATGCAGCTATAAATGTGTTATAGACAGTACATAGTGAATGAACCTATTCTTAGGGTATAATTTTCCCTCTTCGTGGTAACACTATAATTTAAATGTACAGAGAACAAGCAAGTAGACTATGTGAGGTAGATCAAGATTTCTTTATTCAGTGAAGAGCTGAACTTCCCAATTAGAAGTATCCTGGCCAATGATATGGCCAGAATGTAATAAAAAGATTTTACGAATTGGAAGATATTATTTTTACTATTTCAAAAGGAATCTTTAATAGAACTACTGATTATTTTATTAATTTTTATTGTAGTGAAATATATATAACATAAAATGTATCACTTTTACCACTTTTAAGCGTACACTTCAGTAGCATTAAAACACATTCACAGTGTTGTTCAGCTGTCACTACTATTCTTTTCCAGAACTTTTTATTATTTCCAAACAGAGACTTGCTATGTATTAAGCAATAAGTCCTATTCTTCCCTTCCTTCAGCCCTTTGCAATCACAGCGCTAATTTCTGTCTCTGTGAATTTGACTATTTTAGGTTCCTCATATAAGTCAATTCACAAAATATTTCTCCTTTTATGTATGGCTTATTTCACTTAGCATAATGTTTTCAAGGTTCATTCATTCTCTAGCATTCTGCACCATGTGTCAGAATTTCATTCCTGTTCATGGCTGAATAATATTCCATTGTATGAATATACCCCTGGATTTTTTCAAAAACATATTCATCTGTTGACGGACAGTTGAGTTGTTATCATTTTTGACTATTATGAATAATGCTGCTATGAGCATTGACATGCAAGCATCCATTTGAATCTTTACTCTCAATTGTTTTGCATACATATCCACAAGTAGAATTAGTCTATTATATGGTAAGTTTGTGTTTAAATTTTTGAGGAACTACCAAACTGTGTTTTACAGTGGTAGCATTATTTTACATTTCTATCAACAGTGCACAAATGTTCCAATTTCTTTACATTCTTGTCCACACTTGTCTGGTTCTGCTTTTATAATGCCCACCCTCATGGATATGAAGGGCATCTCATTGTGGGTTTTGGTTTGCATGTTCATAAAAGTTAGTGAGGTTAAGCATCTTTTCATGTGCTTATCAACTATTTGTACATTTTCCTTGGATAAATGTGTATTCATTTCTTTTGCCAATTTTTGAATTGGGCTTTGTTGTTGTTATTCAATTTTATGCGTTCTTTATAAAATATATTCTGACCTTTCTACTTCTTTTCAGTCAGATGTTTGCATGCTACATCAAAATGAATTCTCTTACATGAATTATTTTACTATATTATTATGTCATTTTATATATGTGTGTATGTATAAGAGTAGATAATTTCATGTATATAGTGTGTGTCTTATGTATATGCATGTGTGTGTTCATAAATTTTAGGAAATTAAGTTAAAATTTTTTTTGTTTTATTTAGCCATCCTCAATCAGAGACACTAAAATAATAGTATATAAACAACAAAAAGTAAGTAGTTCCTCTTGAGTTATTTAATTCTTGGTCATTTCTAATATGTTTCAAAGTGAAATAAGCAGTAATTTGTATTAACTTTAATGTAAATCTGACTTAATAGTTAAGATCTTGGTTTCTGGGGGTAGCCTGCCTGGGTTGGAATAACATTCTGTCACTTACTGTCTTGTTTAGTCTCTCTAAGCCTCACCTTCCTCATATGAAAGTTGAGATAATAGTAGTTACATAGGACTATTGTGGGAATTAAATGAAGAAACCTAGTGAAGTGATCTCTGCGGGTCTTACCTCAGAACCCACTTGGTGCTAGAGAATCCTTTAATAACAGAGGAAGTTCATAACCCCTAGAGATGCTTTCCTAGACCTGCAGGTAGAAGCCGTGGCATGGATTTTACCACTGTATTGCAGGGTAATCATCAGAATTCCTCCGAGGTAAAGAAATGAACAAGAAATTCTTATGGCTTGAGAGCCCAAGTACATTTTAAAATGAGGAAATGCCAACTCAGGGTTATTAAAATGTGGTATATTTTAAATGCCTGTGTCTAACAAATAAACAGTTAACGCACATATACATGGGTACACACAAACACATTGACTGTATATGACTTAACTTGGTGATAAGATCAAAAGTCTAAACTTTATGTTTTAATCAATGAGAGGCCTAGGCCAATCTCCTGCTGCCTACCACCACTATCCCATGATAACCGCTGGCAGTCCACAAAAATAAGACACCATGGCAGATTAGGGCTCAAATAAACATGTGTATCATTTACTCTAGTGGATTTCATATTCTGATGCCCAAATTTTAAAAACATATGAAAGTGGAGCTTCCATGGTTGAGGTAGGATGGGTTGTTGAGGCTGCCTGGCCCACCAACCTATTTCTATTAGAGACGTTGGGGACAAAAACATAACCCATGGCTTCATAAAACAAGTTTGGAAATGATTGCTTTAGTCTAATTTTATAGATGTCCTCCTGTATCCTATAATCTAAGGCATGAGTATTAGGGAGGAGTCGTGCACAAAGGTGAAAATTGCTAATTAGTGAAAATATACAACATGTGGCCCTGGAGAAATAAACTGATATTAGTATTTTAATTTTAAAGAAGTTGAAATTAACCCTGGGCACAGGGAGCTGTCAGTTCTACTACTTTATGTAAACCAATTGCCAAGCATGTCTAAAGTCAAACATGTCTAAAAGAATCAACTCATATACACACAAACATAAAAAGGTCTATATCACACAATTATTTTAAATAGCTGTAAGTGGTTTGCTCTTTTCCATTTTTTTCTCCTCCTTCTCCCCCTACCACCCCTATTTTTTGTCGTTTTCTCTTCCTTTTTTTAAAAATATAATTTTCTAAACCATACAGGTCAGGTCAGATTTTATTACCTCTAGCCAAAAGTGGTTTTAAGAATAAAGAGCAAAGAGCAAGTATCCTTATCTTTATGCTGTTTGACAGACTATGTAAATAAACAGCATGCCATAAGAAATTCTACAGATGGAGTTATCATAGCAGTGAAAAACTGCACAGATTATGCTCTCCTTATGGTATTTACTCATTTTTGTGTGACGAATGTATGCAAGAAGTCATCATTAGAGAACATAATGGTCGCTGATGATGTATTTATGACATGGAAAGATGTCATGTGATGAAGTGTTTACAACCTATAATGAGGTTGTGTAACAATCTCTTTACAGCCCACAATTACATTGACTAATTCCTTATAAAAATACTCAACAGTATGCTCTCCATGTGCACGTGCTTGATATCACAGCACTTTAGTAACTGACACCTATAACTGCAAAATCAAGCAGCTTGGATGACTCAATAGTCTGTTTCCTATCCAAGGCACATAAAAGATCCTAGGTGTTTAGTTAGTATACTCCAATAAATTCCTCTTATTGGAGGTGACTCGAGTAAGTAACACTGGCATATGTGTCAATATCCTTAAGGGTTGGAGAATTTGAGAGGCAAATTTACCCCTGAAATAATCATTAGTGTAATTTCTTTTTGTTGTAATGATGGGAGAAGTATACATATCTGCACTCTGACATCCAGGAAAATATTTGTACCTGATCTTCCACATTGGTCCCTTATCTGGACCTTATCCCTTATTTCACTAATTAGTGAGCAATATGACTCAAATGAGGTCCCTAAATTTAAAAATGTAGGACAGAAATACCTTCCATATGAAGTTGTGAATAATCTGTATTGTATATAACTACAAAGATGAGTTAGACAGCTGGGGAGCTGGAGTTGTTAAGTGGCTAAAAGGTTGAGGTTCAGGACCTGAAATAGTCCCTGAACCTCTTACCAGGAAGTGAGCTTCAAGATGTAGGTGAGAAAATTCTGGAGCAATCCGGTAGATGTGTAAAAATTTGAAGGAAAATGAGAAAATAGGATGATGAGCAGACACAGAAAGAGGGGGTAGGATGTAGAAATACCATCTACTAAACTTTCATCAGAATATGAATAAGCAGTTGAAAGTGGTTCTAATCCAAGGGAAGTAAATGGGTTCTCAGACTAATAAAAATTAGTCCACATACTTTGAAGAGAAAGACAAAGTAGGGTTAAAATATTTAGTTTGGAAATATACAAAGAAGTGTAATGTAGGTAAACTGGTTTAAGAGTAGGTAAACTACACAAAACTAATTGAAATGTTATTATGTTGAAAGGGTTTAATTCTTTTCAACAGATGATGATAGACACCACAAGATTTTAATAACACACAGAATGTGGCTAATCCCATATAATAAGACTAAATAATATAACACTGACAGGAAGTGAATATGACCTGGTGATATGATTATGTCTTGCATTTACTTACATCTTTATGATTTCCAAAACACTTCTCATAACTTAATCAAACTTCAGAATAGTCCAGGACATGAGCTAGAAGAGACATGTTTGTTTGTTTATTTTATTTTTTAAAGGTAGAAAGTAAGAGCCTTAGAAGTAAAACAATCACTTTAAGGTCTTGGAAGGAATTAATGGGGGAGGTCATAGACTCTCTTTCCTCATCCAAAGAGGATGAAAAAAATAACCATTTCCTGAGGCATTGTGGAGGTACCGAGTGGCCCATGGCCAATCTAACATACCAACTGGAGACACTTAACTCAAAGCAGCTCCACACATGCAGAGAGGGCACCACAGGGAATGTGATGGTTTTTGTTTTTCTCGACTTGCTCCAAGACAAAAAACAGCTAATGTGGAAGCAAAACAATAGAGCTACAAAAGAAGACCCGCCATGAAAATGGTGTTAACCTGAGTTTCAATGTCTAGTAGAAAGGGCCAGCAGGGCATGTCCTTTATATGGCTCATGGGACAGAAACATCTCATTAACACCATCACATGGTATTTAGTCTTCACCACAAAATAATGTATTTCAACAATATCAGAAATGTCACTGGTTTTTTAGAGATTGATTATTCTACTCCTCCATGTCCCCCTGGTTTTTTCTGACCCCAGACCTCCAAGAAACTTTGAAAAGGACTCTGCATAAATAGGAGCAACTGGATTTGAACAGATAATTTGGATTTGAAGACTAACAGGGTTCTTGACAGTAATACATTAGGGCAATTTAGCTGAAACGCTCTGCTTATTATTTTGTCTGATTCTACCATGAAAGTTTTATAAAGTCATTTTACTTTGATTCATTCCAAGAAGTCCTAGGAATCCAACAGTATTCACAGAAAAGGAGACCAGTGGTGTCTTCACGGCTCAGTTGTTGTGATGCATTTTCGTCTGGACTTATGTGCTACTCATTTCTGAGTTACGCGTTTCATAATAAGCAAGTGGGCAAGTTTTAATGGCATCTTATGGTAAGGTGGAACAATGTCTTAGGTAGGGAAAAAAAGGGATGGTGCTGCTCCACATTTAGATTGCTATTCCTGGTATTCTAGATAATAAGAATAGGAACACTCCTTGGTCTGCTGAGAGGGAGCAGAGATTTTTTGATTAGGCTCTTTTTCTGTGTGGACAAGCAATGAGAAGCATGGGATTTGCTGCAGTGACCAGTTATCCAAAAAGGAGGACAAATGTAGTGGGAGAAGATGACATAAGAAGAGAAATATAGACCAGGCATGGTGGCTTACGCCTGTAATCCCAGCACTTTGGGAGGCCGAGGTGGGTAGATCACCTGAGGTCAGGTGTTTGAGACCAGCCTGGCCAACACAGCAAAACCTCATCTCTACCAAAAATACAAAAATGAGCCAGGCATGTTGGCACACACCTGTAATCTCAGCTACTCAGGAAGCTGAGGCAGGAGAATCACTTGAACCTAGGAGGCAGAGGTCGCGGCTTCACTAAAAAAAAAAAAAAGAAGAGAAATATAAAATTTAAATAGCACTAATGGTATATGTGGTTAGCAAGGCGACTGAGGAGGAAGAGTCACTGATAGGTACAAAGGCTGGAGCAGTTTCTTCTGATTTTAAATATTATTATAAATTTGTGGTTTATTTTTCATTTGAATCTCCAATGAAATTAACGGAATTTCTTTTGAAATTTATGTAGGAGTATAAAAAATTTTAAAAATCTATTTGACATTGACTTTTGATTGTTGCCTCATCTTAAACTTCAGAGAGAAATATTCAATTTCCTCCTCAAAGCCAACATCCTATTCTGACAAAGGCAGAATATTTCACTAGCACTTTACCTTATCCAGGAAGCATTCTGAAATTCTGAGTTATGAAAACGACGGTCTTTTCACATTTATGTTTGTAGCACCCTGAAAAGGAATACATGTTGCAAAACTTTTAACCTGTAGGAATCTTGAGACTCTCACATATGATCCCCCAATTAAGAATATCAAAATTGAAAGTAGAGGAGAGAGGGAACAAAAGATGACTTGAATTAATAGAAATTACTGTTAAAATGTAAAGTATTTAGTATTGGATCTTAATTTGTCCAAAATATTTATTAAGAACCTTTTCACATATCAGGTGATAGATGCCAAGGAGAAGCAACCGAAACCAGTATTTGAGAACCTCAGCCTAAATTGCCAATTTTGGTTTTCTTTTAATTAGAATGATATAGATCAAGTTCTATTCATTTGCCTCTAAGGTATCTCCAAAACCAAACTAAGTATTGAGTTATTTTGTAATTTCCTTGAAGAATCCAACCCATTTCAGTATTTTTACGATAAGCACAAGAAGACTCTGTTTTGTCTTGACTTTGGAGAGTGAAGCTTGCTTCCATGTGCATAATTTCTGTTCTGCTGTCGTAAATGATCCTCCATTGTCAGAGTCCATCTTTAGAGCTCACAACAGTTTATAGTTTCAGCAAATAATAGTTTCATACCACTTTATCACATGCAAAATGCTTTTCAAATTATTTTATACTCATTCATTATTCCCTTGTTATGGATGAGTTAAATTGAAGTTTAGAAATGCTAAGTAACTTCCTTAAGGATTCACAATGAATAGGCGGTAGACCTAGGAATGGAGTCTATCTATGCTTGGACTTTCTACTGCACCTCGCAGCGTGCAAGTAATACAAACGCCCTTCATACCTTGCATCCTGCTCCAGTTTGTTGTCACTGATTTCTCATTATTTACCTTATTGAAAAATGCCTCATTGAGAAACAGGCAAAAGGAATATTGTGGGTAGAAAGTTTGAGGGATTAGAGAAGTAATGACAAATGTATCTTAACCAAGTCTTGAATAGATGACCTGTACTACATAGTTATTTTCCTTGGAAAATATTTCAAAATTTAAAAACTTATTTTTGACATTTCACATCTAAATATCTAGAGTAGTTTGAAGGGTTTTCTTTATTTCTTTTATTTGTCACAAAGTCAATAAAATTAAATTCCGTTGTGGTTTTAATTTTATTCCAGAAAGGAAAAAAACAAAATGATTTGTGTTTCAAAGATAAATAAGAACTTAGATCATGCTGTGGATTGAAACTCCAACCCTGTTGAAAGAAAGGGGTCTCCTGAACTTTAGTGGACCTTGTTTGTCAGCCTTACTCCCAACCTTGGGGCATGGCCTCTTGACATAACCTACTGAAGGTAAGAGGCTGAGGGAAGGAGACAGGCCAGAAGGCAGAGAAACCATATGCCAGCCAGTCTCAAGAAGAGAAGTGAAATGAAGCTTTCTAAGTCCAAGGGCCTGCTTTTTACAGCTCATCAGGCTTAGGGCAATTGCCAAAAAGGGAAAAAAAAGATCCCCATTAGGCACAACCTAAGTATTTTTAATTTTAAAAAGTCAGTAAAAGAAAAAGAGTCCAGAATCCAGTTTTTGTGGCAGCAAGTACGTCATTTGAATTTGTTTTTAGTTTAAAATTGTTATGCCTTATGTTTTAAGTTTAATGTTCATTTGAGTGAGTACTTTAAGTGTTGCTATCATATTCAGTGTCCATAAGTTTGTGAAAATGCTTAAAAAGCCATCAAAGTTTTTGTGAGACAACTGAGAGAAACTTAGTTTGGAATGTTTCCCTGATTTATTTATTACTTTTCAGAAAGTACATTACAATCAAGCAGGTATTACCCTAATCGAAAGAAATATATACCACTGGAGCTTGAAAGGGTAATTTTTTTTGGTTTTCCCAAGTTTTATTGCAATAATTCAATTTATGATAATCAATAAAATGTGTGAGCCAAGTTTATTGAGGTGTCAACTTCCCATTGCATAATTTCCCCTGAGAATCTTAATTTTTAATTCAAAAAGAAAGTGGAAGATTTGTCGTACAGATGCCAATGAATGTGTGGGGTTAAGGAAAGCACAAGACCCTTTACAGAAATCAAAGTGGGGTTTAAAACAATTCCCTTATCACTTCTTCCCATATCCTTTAGCTCACCATTAATTTTCCAGGGGAATAAGTTCTTGAAATGGTCAAGATGTAGGTCTTTTTCCTAGATTGCTGAAAGAGATATTGGACAGTAAGATCTGGTCAACAGTCAAGAGTATTCAGGGGTGGAGAATATTATGGTTGGCTTACAAATGTCGGACAATAAAAGGAAGTAAGTCTATAGTTTGACTATAGGCTTAATTTACGACCATACATACACCAGTGTTAAAATAGAAGGTGAGTCCTCATGGACTTAAGAAATGAGGCTAAAAGCCCAACTAATGAAGATGAAGACATTTATTGGTAACATGCAGATTTTTTTCTTTTTTGGTAATGGTTATATAATAAATACATTAGATTGGTCACAAAAATATCCTGATTCTTTGCCCCTCTCTATATCTGATCTCTTTGCAATGTAAACTTTTAGCTCTGCCCATCAAGAGGGAAGTCTATCTCCCCAGCCCTTGAATCTGGATTGACCTTGTGACTTGTTTGGCCAAGAGAAGAATACAGGAGAAGTGACCGTGTGCCAATTCCAAGCCTAGGCTTCAAAGGGCCTTGTGCATTTTTATACCACGTGGCAGAACCCTACCCAACCACTGTTAAACAAGTCTAAACTAGGCTTGTGGAAGATGAGAGACCACATTCAGCAGAGATAAGTTTTTGTAGCTGAGGGCATCCTAAACTAGCCAGTTTCCAACCAACTGAGTAGTTGACCACAGACAAATGAGTGAAAGCAGTCAAGGCAAGAACTACGCAGCTGACTGGTAGACTTGTGCCCAATGATAAACACTGATGGTTTTAAAACACTGAATCTGGTGGTGGTTTGTTACACAGAAATAGCTAACTGATACAATGTATGAGTCATATATTTAGGAACTAACATCAGACCTGATTTCTGGATTCTAGATACTAAGAATTAATAATATAAAAACCACCATTTACTGATTGAGCACTAACTAGGTATGAAGCGATGAGCTAAATGTCTTTTCTGCTCTGTGATGAATGACACCCTTAGGGGATCACATTTGGTACTATGAGTTGAAATGCCGAGATGGTGAAATTCTGACCCCCAGTACCTAAGAGTGTAAACTTATTTGGAAATAGGGCTTTACAGAGGTAATCAAGTTAAAATGAGGTCATTAAGGTAGACTCTAATCAATATGACTGGCTGTCTTATAAACAAGCAAGATTTGAACACAAAACCGGAGACACAGGAAAGATGATGTAAAATTACATGGGGAGAAGATGGTCATGTGACTGGAGATATGCATCCATAAGCCAAGGAATGACAAGGGTTGCAGGTTAAACACCAGAAGCTAAAGGAGGCAAGGAAAGGCTCTCCCCTAGAACTACCAGACAAAGCATGGCCCTGCCAATACCTTAATTTTGGGTTTCTAGCCTCCAAAGGTATGAGATGATAAACTCTATTGTTTTATGCCACCTAGCTTTTGCTACTTTGTTATGGTGCTCCTAGGAAAATAATACAGGGGCAATGGAGGAATTGGCAGCTCACATTTAAATTATAAAGCAATTTCTAATGTTCAAGGACTATGTGGTTGCATGAGTGAAATAATTTATCTCAATGTACAAGATATATTATCTGTTTATCATTAAGTAGATAATTTTTATGCATGAATCATCAGATAAGTTAACATTGACTCACAGATCTGATCTTACACAATTGCTAGTGCTGGTCTAGAACATGTATTTTTAAATCATCTGATTTCATTTGCACTACTGTAGAGTTTTGTTTGTTTTTAAATAAGATGTAGACCCAAGATACCAAACTAAAGGACTACTAGGCCAGCGACCATTTGACAAAGCCAGGATATTACTTCTGAGGTGGAAATAACAAAATGACTTCACAGAGGGAAGTGGAAGTATGTGGATTTCAGAGTTTGAATATGCCAGTGTTCATAGATCCACAAAGAGATATAAATATATATGATAGTAAAGAACTAAGTTTTTTCCCTAAAGATCAGACTATTACATGAAAGAAAACAATTCTTTTTACACTTAAAGATGGGCTACACATTTTTTTATCCCAGGGCCAACACACTGTTGAAGTCAACATATTCTGTTTCATCCCGGACAAGCCAGCCCCACTGATGTCAAGCACACAACCTTCTTACCTCAAGCTTTTAAATAGTATTCTGCCTGAAATACTCTTCTGCAAATATTGGCTGAATCCTTCACTGGGATTCAGGCCTCTGCTCAAATGTCATCTTATCAGAGGGATCTCTTATCTCCATCATTTTCTGTATGTTTATGCTAGGTTTCATGCAGACATTCATGTATGTGCACAAAAAATGAAATGTAAGCTTATGAGCAGGGGCTCTGTTTTGTTCACTTCTATATCTCTAGGGCCTAAAACACTGCCTGGAACTTAGGATGTTCTCAATAAATACTTGAATAAATGAATGATCTGAATTTTAAAAACCAAGAAATACTAGATGCCTGATTTCTGGCTGATTATTCTCCTTGTCTTTCAAACATTCTTAAACAAGATCATTTTCTTGGCCAAATGTGATATTTTTCTTAGACTTCTTCAGCCTTTCTTATTGTGCATCTGAATTGATGATTTGTCTGCCACAAGTAACTGCAAATGGAAACAGGTGGTTCACTTTCAATATGGCTAAACTTTCAGAGTATTTTTTTTGTATATATGAAAACACTTACAAAAGGCTTACAATGCAGTACTCACTGGATTTATGGGCCACAGAGAATCTTAGAGATCTCAACATAAGGTCAGGACGATTTCATGGGGCTCATGGTGTCCTATGTTTACAAGCCACAGGCACCTTTCCCACATGCTCCCTTCCTGTTCTGATGTCACTTAGTTGATACATCATTAGGGCTGGAAGAGATCATAAAGATCATCTATTCTAATCTAACACCCTCATTTTACAGTTGAGAAAATAGATGAAGAACATGTATAAGGCTTTCTTAAATTCATATGGAGAGTGCTGTTGTTTTATTGTGGCTATGATGGTGCACATGCCTGTGCCTCTGTGTTTGCGTGTGTGTGTATGTGTGTGTGATATGAAGTATAAGATGTTGCTAGACGAAAATGGATAGAAACAAAACCCTAGTATTTTGAGAATATTGATACATCAGGTGATATATATGTCTAGTCTTAACAACTGAGTCTAACCTCTTTCGTTGGCAAAAACAGAAATGGAAGGTTGTGCCCAAGGCACTCAGGTTGTTAAGGGTATAGCCCCACAATGATACCGAGAAACTGGTCCAGCCTGTGTACTACCCGTTCACAGAAGATACTACAGTCTAGCAGTTCCAATTTCCATTCTCTTCCATTGTGATAAATTATTTTTTGTTTCAAATGCTGTTTCCCAATTCTTCCTCCAATGGAAACAAGATCAACTGCTTGCTAATCTATTCTCTTCTCCAAGCTAAAAAGAACAAGATGTTCATGTTATTCTCCCTTCTCTAAAGTCTCATTCTTGATAGTATCTTTCTTTTTTTTTTCTATTGAAGTTAGCATTTATTTTTATTTTTATTTTTTTATTATTATACTTTAAGTTTTAGGGTACATGTGCACAATGTGCAGGTTAGTTACATATGCATACATGTGACATGCTGGCGCGCAGCACCCACTAACTCGTCATCTAGCATTAGGTATATCTCCCAATGCTATCCCTCCCCCCTCCCTCCACCCCACAACAGTCCCCAGAGTGTGATGTTCCCCTTCCTGTGTCCATGTGCTCCCATTGTTCAATTCCCAAATATGAGTGAGAATATACGGTGTTTGGTTTTTTGTTCTTGTGATAGTTTACTGAGAATGATGATTTCCAATTTCATCCATGTCCCTACAAAGGACATGAACTCATCATTTTTTATGGCTGCATAGTATTCCACGGTGTATATGTGCCACATTTTCTTAATCCAGTCTATCATTGTTGGACATTTGGGTTGGTTCCAAGTCTTTGCTATTGTGAATAGTGCCGCGATAAACATACGTGTGCATGTGTCTTTATAGCAGCATGATTTATAGTCCTTTGGGTATATACCCAGTAATGGGATGGCTGGGTCAAATGGTATTTCTAGTTCTAGATCCCTGAGGAATCGCCACACTGATTTCCACAATGGTTGAACTAGTTTACAGTCCCACCAACAGTGTAAAAGTGTTCCTATTTCTCCACATCCTCTCCAGCACCTGTTGTTTCCTGCCTTTTTAATGATTGCCATTCTAACTGGTGTGAGATGATATCTCATTGTGGTTTTGATTTGCATTTCTCTGATGGCCAGTGATGGTGAGCGTTTTTTCATGTGTTTTTTGGCTGCATAAATGTCTTCTTTTGAGAAGTGTCTGTTCATGTCCTTCGCCCACTTTTTGATGGGGTTGTTTGTTTCTTTCTTGTAAATTTGATTGAGTTCATTGTAGATTCTGGATATTAGCCCTGTGTCAGATGAGTAGGTTGTGAAAATTTTCTCCCATTTTGTGGGTTGCCTGTTCACTCTGCTGGTAGTTTCTTTTGCTGTGCAGAAGCTCTTTAGTTTAATTAGATCCCATTTGTCAATTTTGGCTTTTGTTGCCATTGCTTTTGGTGTTTTAGACATGAAGTCCTTGCCCGTGCCTATGTCCTGAGGAAGATCTACCAAGCAAATGGAAAACAAAAAAAGGCAGGGGTTGCAATCCTAGTCTCTGATAAAACAGACTTTAAACAAACAAAGATCAAAAGAGACAAAGAAGGCCATTACATAATGGTAAAGGGATCAATTCAGCAACAAGAGCTAACTATCCTAAATATATATGCACCCAATACAGGAGCACCCAGATTCATAAAGCAAGTCCTGAGTGACCTACAAAGAGACTTAGACTCCCACACATTAATAATGGGAGACTTTAACACCCCACTGTCAACATTAGACAGATCAACGAGGCAGAAAGTCAACAAGGATACCCAGGAATTGAACTCAGCTCTGCACCAAGCGGACCTAATAGACATCTACAGAACTCTCCACCCCAAATCAACAGAATATATATTTTTTTCAGCACCACACCACACCTATTCCAAAATTGACTACATACTTGGAAGTAAAGCTCTCCTCAGCAAATGTAAAAGAATAGAAATTATAACAAACTATCTCTCAGACCACAGTGCAATCAAACTAGAACTCAGGATTAAGAAACTCACTCAAAACTGCTCAACTACATGGAAACTGAACAACCTGCTCCTGAATGACCACTGGGTACATAACGAAATGAAGGCAGAAATAAAGATGTTCTTTGAAACCAACGAGAACAAAGACACAACATACCAGAATCTCTGGGACACATTCAAAGCAGTGTGTAGAGGGAAATTTATAGCACTAAATGCCCACAAGAGAAAGCAGGAAAGATGCAAAATTGACACCCTAACATCACAATTAGAAGAACTAGAAAAGCAAGAGCAAACACATTCAAAAGCTAGCAGAAGGCAAGAAATAACTAAAATCAGAGCAGAACTGAAGGAAATAGAGACATAGAAAACCCTTCAAAAAATTGATGAATCCAGAAGCTGGTTTTTTGAAAGGATCAACAAAATTGATAGACCGCTAGCACGACTAATAAAGAAAAAAAGAGAGAAGAATCAAATAGACGCAATAAAAAATGATAAAGGGGATATCACCACCGATCCCACAGAAATACAAACTACCATCAGAGAATACTACAAACACCTGTATGCAAATAAACTAGAAAATCTAGAAGAAATGGATAAATTCCTCAACACATACACTCTCCCAAGACTAAACCAGGAAGAAGTTGAATCTCTGAATAGACCAATAACAGGAGCTGAAATTGTGGCAATAATCAATAGCTTACCAACCAAAAAGAGTCCAGGACCAGATGGATTCACAGCCGAATTCTACCAGAGGTACAAGGAGGAACTGGTACCATTCCTTCTGAAACTATTCCAATCAATAGAAAAAGATGGAATCCTTCCTAACTCATTTTATGAGGCCAGCATCATCCTGATACCAAAGCCGGGCAGAGACACAACCAAAAAAGAGAATTTTAGACCAATATCCTTGATGAACATTGATGCAAAAATCCTCAGTAAAATACTGGCAAACTGAATTCAGCACCACATCCAAAAGCTTATCCACCATGGTCAAGTGGGCTTCATCCCTGGGATGCAAGGATGGTTCAATATACACAAATCAATAAATGTAATCCAGCATATAAACAGAACCAAAGACAAAAACCACATGATTATCTCAATTGATAGTATCTTTCTAATGTTGATCTTAGTGGGAATCAGCAAAAATTGATAATAATCTGATTAAATGCATTTGGAGGACTGTCTTATGATTCCCATATATGCATTCTAATATGTCATTTTTTTTAAGAACAGAAACGTAGCTGACATACACTTAACTTATAGAAATATTTTTAAGTTTTCTTCCTAAAAGATAGCTCCATGAAAAGGCAGACTGATAAAATTTAAGACGATATTGAAGTTTGTGTCTAGCAATAATTCATTTCTCTGTTCTTTTCAACTAGTTCCTTTCCCTCACCCATCTTATTTTTTGTTAAAATAAAAACTTATGAGCTTTTGATGTCCACCATCAATTTAGACTTAATTGAAAGCCATTTTAAGTCTAATTCTTTGTGCAGATAATACCACAGCAGAGAATTATAAACAAAGCAATTACCACCATAATAGCCAGAAATAAATTGATTCTTTATTTTCATGTTTTGAACCAAATGCATGCATAATTTTTGCCTAATTGTAACCATGCTTTCATTAAAAAATATAACAGAGGGAGTGGCGTTTTTCCACCATGGTGTTTGGAAAATAGAGATCCCAAGCTAATTTCATTGATTTCCCAATGTCCTCAAATGAATGAAGAGGATGGCTTTTCCTTCCATATTTCCTCTCTCACTCTAGGAGCTTAAGGATCTAATATTGAGTATGGGCCAGTTAGCTTGCCGCCAAAGAGAGGTTCTCATTTGGCATTCATGAAAAGTTCAGCAGGACTAGATGTGGGTGAGAGGCACCACTCACAGATGTGCTGGTGCACAGGCCATGCATCTGGGGACACTGATTCAGCTTTTCCATAGATCCTGTACTCTTGAACAGTGCTCTCTCATTGATGTCTTATTTTAAGATATACGAAACATTTCTTAATAATATACACAAAAATGAGAAGGATAATCAGAATGCAAATTAGCAATATTTGAGAAAGCAAAATAAAAAAGAAATTAATGAAAATTCAATGGAATGCATAAAACGGATCCAGGAATGGATCTAGTTTAACAAAAATATATCGTTTTTTTCTCAAATGCAAAGAAACTGATTGAGAAAAGAACTCTTCCAAATAAACATTCAAGAATTATCTCAAGAACTCTCCAAAAATTTAAAATGCTCAATTTATCATCTCATATAGACCCTTATTGCCCAAAATGTGGTCCTCGTACCAACAGCACTGGCCTCACCTTAGAGCTTGTTAGAAATGCAGGATCTCAGGGCTCACCTCATCCTTACTTAATGAGAATCAGCAGTTTAACATGTTCCCCAGGGGATTTGTGTACACTGAAGTTTGAGATGCCTTGGACCACAACATCCTTAGATTTGACACACTTCTGGAAGCATGATTCTCCAATCCATTCACCATATCTTCCAGATATGGTGATGGATTCTTGACACAATCATTCTATGAGTTTTGTTGATGTGACTTAATCCAGAAGTAGATATCAGAGATTATCCATTTGTGCAGACAACCTGCCCACCCTTTAGACAATCTCCACAAATGTAGCTTCTCACAGGCAAGATCTTATATCTTGAAGAATTATAATTTTCTCGGCCAAGGGCCTGGACTGGACTGAATTATATTTTCAGGGTCTTCAACAACCTAGGGAGCCTGATGGGGACATGGGTATATACAGAAGTTCTTTCGGCCTCTAGCACAGAAGTAGGCAGGGCCAAAGCTCTTCTTAGAAACGTGTTTTTAAAATTCTAGATGGAAAACCATAGATGGCACATAAAATTAATATTGTGGGCCATAACCAACATGGAAAAATAAAATAGAATAGCCAAGAACAGAGAGAAATGAAATAAAATAAAATAGAAAATATAAGAGCGAGACTTATAGCAAGGAAAGGTTTTTGTTAAATTTAATGTTCCAATTATACATATATGTGTATGCATGTACCGAGTCTCAATGTAACACAGTTTTCTTTCACTGGGCACCAGTCTAAAGTGTGGAAATCATTGCCTTAGGATATACTTTTGAATACACTCTTATGGAGAGACATATTAGAAATGTTCACTCACTGAATGTTAAGGGAAAAAAGGCTTAATTTCTAATATTTATAGGTTATATTTTATATTATAATCTTCAGATGAAAATCTATAATGTTATGTGTTGTGATGTTTCACCAAAATTAATATTCACAGTTTATACAAAGATCATAAAAATAAATTCATCATTAACATAATGTTTCCTCAGACACATGAGTGCCTAGTTTAATTTTGGAAATATGAGGTTTGAGTATGAAACAGAATTTTGGAAATGCTGGTGCTCATGATTCCTGAATTGCAATAGCCACTGACAAAAGTGTCATGTCCAATTTCTAAGAAGAAAGCCAGATTTAAAGACCCCTCCACAAAACTCCCTGAGCATGAAATCTCTTCTAAAAATCAACATTTTATTAATTGAGGGTAAAAGCATTGAAAAGATGCTTATTTGACTTGCCATCAGGTTCACATGAGGTAATTTAATGGCAAGAAGTATTCTGAATTTTTTAAAAGAAAATTTGTAGAGAACAGCACAGAGAATTCTCTTTTACCACAGGGAAGTTCTTTCTCATAAAAGTAAAGGGAAATCATTTATGCCTACAGCTTTGAATTCATGTACCAAATGCACGTGGAATTCAGATTTTCACTCTGTTCTCTTTAAAAGAGCTATTTTACAGGAATATGAGCTGAGAGGCAATATGGTACTATGTTTATAACTAGGAGCTTGTGTATAAAAAGTTGTTTTAAAATATAAAATAGTATCAGAACCAGTTTAGTAAGTACTCATTTAAATAAATTAAGATTCATTGGATTTTCCTAATCTATAGTATTTGGAAGAGTCATTTTATTTCCTTCTCTAAAAGTTCAATGCTTGTTTTTTAGTAAACATTCTAGATTAATATGTATTCATACATTTTACTTATGTCCTCATACATATTTAACTTGATTCTTAATTTAAATTCTGAAAATAATCTATACATGCTGTTAATTAGGCAAAATCAGTACAGATGTTTGCTATACTTGATTTTTTTAACAGCTAATAACTTTGGAAAAGTTTCCAGAGGATAGGTAGATAATATAGTCTAGATGTTTTTGCATTCTATGTATCAAGGTGACATCAGAGAAACTTCTATGGAAGATGCATACAAATGATGTTAAAATTGTTTCAATTTATATTTGCTGGTTAAACTAACTTCTACTGAAAGAAATTTTCTTTATGGCACATGGGAATAAACACTCTGGCTGAACTATTAACAATGCAGAAACACAACAGTTTAAGAAGAGGAGCATTAAAACAATCTGATTTGGGCTTTACAGGATGGAGAAATTCTTAAGGGAGCCAAAGGATAATCATATATTCTAAAATACAGGTGATCTTCTGTATATCTAGTCATAGTTTAAAATTATTTAAGCTACTTATTAAACATGATTCAGAACTTTACCATCTAAGCAAAAAAACATACAAACACTTCTGCTCCCTGGCAGGACAGAAAAAAGTTATGATAGTACACCACTCACTGAGGTCAGAGGCCTAAAATAGCCAGCTATAATCCTTTCTGGTAGACTTGCAAATAAATTATATTTACCATATTAGAAAAAGGATTGCCTTTCTGATTAGAAGTGAAAGGACAGTTATGCAATGAGTATGAAGAGTTGACTCTTGAAGATAGATGCCAATTGCTTTTTAATATGGTGTGTGTGTTTCTGTGTGTGTGTGTGTGTGTGTGCACGCATTAAGAATAGCATGATTTTCTGGGTTTCTCCTAAAGAGAAGTTTAATTTGTTAAGTGTCTAAGTTAAATTGGGATGCCTGTACTTCATGGACCTATGGAGACATAATTGTGCCTGGGACAGGATGAGTAATTTTCAGGTTTAAGCCTCCTTTGAGTATTTGGATGCATTGGTGATTGTAATTACTGCTCACAGCTGAAAGGTTGAAAAGCCCCAGTGAACAATTCATTCATTGTCTTGTTCACATCTGGGTTAATGTTTCCTTCTTGGAGAACTCTGTACCAGTCTGTTTTTTGCTTCTTGCCACAAGATAGCAATGCCAATTTCTCTCTGTTTACTTGGAAGATCTTGAGGCTGATGCATCAGTGCTAGCCACAAATTAATGGAATTCTTTCCAGCTGCAATGTTTTCAAATCATCAAATAATAAGCCAGTAACACCGAACTGCTTTGGCTGTTTTTCTCTTAATTGTGTGCCATTCTCAGAGATGATGTAAACACAGTTACTAGTTGAAATGACCATAATATCTAAGGTATTCTAAAGAAATAGATGACAATTTTATGGAACGCAGTTTTTCAAAAAACAATTCGTTGTAGTCTGAAGCCAGATGGCATATCATCTCATAAGAGAGAGTATTAGAAAAAGCAAAAGTGCTCACACTTAACAGAAAGGTACAGAGGTCAAGATCTGAAGTGAGGAATCCAATTTCCTTCTTTGGCTTACGTCTGGCCTGTGTTCTTAGAGTTAGCAGTGTCATTTCAGCTCTGCATTGAGATTAACCTTTGGCAAAGGATTCTGTTGGGGAAGATGCTGTGGCAGGCTCCCAGTGTCCATCTCAAAGTGTAGGCTGAGTTTGAAGCCAGATCACCTGGTTAGTCTGAGAACGGAACATATGATGAATCCAACCATTATGTTCCAAATATGTTCCAAATAAAAGGAGTCAGAAGATACATGGACAACCGAGGCAGTCTCAGCATTCCTATGGCCTTAAGTTGGGAAAAGAAACAAAACAAAACACATGAACTAATATGGCTGAACTGAAAGGCTCTTTGGAATGGCAACTTTTGACCCTTGAGTCTTAAAATCTCTGTTGACTCACCTCATAACTTTGTACCAAATTGGCAGTCTCAACATATTTGTTGGATAGATTTCCTTCTAACGTTAATTTGACTCTCAGTTCACTTTCTTTGAATCAATCAAAAGCTTCTCCACTTTTCAAGAAGTTCAAGTTGGTATCTATGACTTTGGCCATAGAGTAGTAGTGTTCCACTTGGCCTGTACTTTAGAATTGTCTGAGGAGATGTGTGTTAAATTACATTAAATTTGGCCTAATCTTCCTCTTTATCTTGGCTCTGTACATAGCAAATTGCAACCTAACTTGGTGTGTAAACAAACTGTGACATTACTTAAGAGCACATTCTTGTGACAAGTAGCTGAGTCTCAAACAATCACAGCAACCAAACTGCATCCAATCACAGACTGCCAACTAATCAGACTATGTCCCTAGATGACAAATGCCTCATCATACCATGTCCAAATAAGGCTAATGCCAAACTGTAACCAATCAAGCTGTTTCCACATTTTACTTCCTTTTTTTTTTTTTGTCCATACATACTTGCCTGCTTCTACTGCTAGGTGGAGCTCTCTGAAATTCTACTGGTTAAGGGTGCTGCCCAATTCATGAATTTTTCTTTGCTCAAAAAAAAAAAAATGCTGCTAAATTTAATTGGTCAAAAGTTTTGTCTTTTAACGTGTATGTAATATTTGTGCTGGAGTCACACTCACAGAGATTCAGATTCAATCATTTTGGGGTGAGGCCTGTTTATCAATATTCTTTATTAGCATCTCAAATGATTCTAATGTCTAGCAAAGATTAGAAATTGCTACTCTAAAAGAAATCCGAAACACCTGAAATACTGATGTAATTGAAAGGTGATTGAAATAAAGAATTTTAACTAATTTTGTGTGTATGCTTGTGTACATTCTTAATTTTTATCTTATACATAAATTTTATACTTAATTTTTATGCTTGTGTATATACTTAACTTTTTATCCCCAAGAAGTCACCTTTCTATCAAGAAATATTAATATCATAAGGTCTAGGTGCAAATATACCTAGAAAATTGTTTACTTGTAGGAATTTAATTTTAAAATGTCTTCAAATAGTTTAAAATCCAAGGTATGTACATATATGCACAGTTTAGAACAGCAAGAATAATAGTGTGAATTTATTTAACCTCACTAGTTTCAGTGAATTTCATAACTTAACATTATACGTGTCTGTTAGTAGGGGTAGGGATTTGGACAAAAATATAAAAGAAGTATGTGCTGTAGTTGCTGCATTGGAAAAAATGATTAATGTTTTGCAAGAGGGAGATAAGATATATACATAAAATAATTACACAGAAGTCAAGTATAAATAGTCTAGAATAGAAATAAAATTGTGCCAGAATTTGCAACGCAAGTGAACTCGTTTTCCCTTGAGCTCATACTCTTTTCATTAGTGTTATTGATTGAGGAAAGAAACAAAATATGTTGACTCTATGAAAAACTGGAAGTTTAGAAAGTTCAAGATTATTATTTATTTATTAGTAACAGAAGAAAATAATCACCATATAAAAGCTCTAAGAAAAGAAAAAAGAAGTGAGCACATGCAAAGCGTGGATGAATAGAATAGTTGCTGGAAAATGTAACAATCCTGAAATTTGATGATGTTGGGCAATCTGGTTCTGTCTAAAATATCTGCCAGGCAGAAATTCTTCTTTCAAGCCTGAGCTTGATGAAATCATATGGTTATAAATCAAGTCCAGAAATGGAAATTAGCAAATGGACCACATCCTCCAAATGGTTTTGAAAAACTATTCTGCCTTTCTCAGGAAGAAATGTCTGATTATGCATGATCTATCATTTTCAATTCTACAACATAATTCAAATCAACAGTCTTTTCAGCAACCACCTAAGCTTTTGAATGCTCAAAAATTTAATTAAGGATCATGAGAAAGTGGTCACTTGATTTACAAGCATTTTCTCAATATCACAAATCTAAGATCCTCCTCTTCCACTATAGACATGCCATCCTTTCTTTCATCAGTGCCTTATCGATTATGAAAATGTATTGATTAATGACTTTGGTAGGGAGAATTTGATAAATGTATTAAGTTATACTCTGGCTTCTCAATCCCCTTGAGGGTTTTTGACTAATGGAAATGTCATTGGTACTTCTTTCTACAAAATATCCTTAATTATCAATTATCTCTACAAAGTACTCTCCTCTACCTGGAACATCCACTGGTCTCACTGTTCTTCCTCCTTCTAGTAAGCTCCCACACATCTTGTAGGATTTAGATCTAATAATATCTTCTCTGTAAAGTTTCCCTAGGACTCACCCACATCTGATAGAGTTACCTTCTTTGTACTTGCTATATAGCAAACTGTTGTGAAACAAATTATGTTATATTTTAATTATTTCTTTATGTGTGAATCCTGATTTCTCTGTTTTAGTAAGATTATGATTTCAAGTTCTGTCTAAGTTATATGTTAATTTAATTCATCTTCATGTAAGTAACCCCGCTCACTGTAGACAAAATAGAAACTAAACAGAAACAAAAAGAAAAATACACCCATAACCCCATCAACCACAGATAACTAAATAAAATAAATACTTAGTGTATTTACTTCCAGAAATCCATCTGGTTCTTTTGAGTTTAGACTTTTTTTTCAGATATTTGCTCTTTTAAACAATATTTGATTAATATCTTTGTATGTGCACCCGAGCATACTTATTTAGTTGTTTTCTTCAGCTAAATGTTGAGATGGAAAGCTTCTGAATCAAATGATATGAATTTTTTTAACCATTCTGATTTATATTCCAAACTGACATCTTGAAATGTTATTCTGATTACTCTCTCTTTAGTGAATGAAAGTTCCCATGCACTGTGGAGATATTGTTTACGTTTCTGTCTTAGTTGAAGGGAAGAGGAACATTTTTTATTCATTTTGCATTTCCAGTTCCTGTAGCAGTAAAGGAAGAAAGGTGAACTTATTTTTATTGTCAGGGCAGTGTACCTGATCTCAGTTTTTTAAGCCAGGAGTTGCTTAGAAAGCAGATTGATTGCTGGCTCCATTAATCCACATCCTCTTCTATATCTTTACCTTGTGGTTGCCTCATGGAGGGCATATTTCATTTTTCCTCCCTTTGATTTGGGACTCAGCCCTGGCTTTGTCCATTGTCATGTAGAAATGCCAACTTGCCATTTCCAGCCTAGTTTCATAGGTTTTCATTTGCCTTATGTTTTTGCCATTGTCAGAAGAAGCATATTCCCCAAGCCATAGCTGCCTGTTTGTCTGAGCTGCAGAAGGAAACATGGAAAAAGACATGACAAGCTATATCTGCAGGCTATATCTAAATTCTCTCACCCACCTGCCCCATGAATCAGAATCCTCCATGGACTCCACAGGCTAAACTGCCCCAAGAGTCCAGTATAGATGGATGAAGCCTCAGCTGACCTGTAATCATGTGTGAGTTATAAGTTTATTGCTGCTTTAAGTTACTGACCTTTGGGGTGGTTTATGCAATATTGTTGTCATTTTTCCGATGAAATGTTCCCATGGCTATAGACAACTCTCTGTTTTCCTTCAGAGCTACCCAACTATAAAAGAGCTCCATAAATTCCAGTGGTCACCTTTTCTACTCTGTCTTTTGGACTCAGGGACTTACGACATCATTTGGATAACAAGACCTCATGAACTTCTCAGTGGAAAGACAATGAGTTTCTGGAAAGAAATTGGTTTAAATATTGCCTCTGCCCACTGTAGTTCTGTGACACTTAACATTTCACTTAATGTATCTGATTTTTAGTTTCCTCTCTCTAAAATGAAGGTAATAAAAGCCTTATCTCATGGGGCTATGGTGAAAATCAAAATATAAGGTATACAAAAAGCATTCTTAAATGCTAGTCAACTCATCTAAGTATGCTTTTTGTGAAAAACTTAGTATTTAGTAATAATAGGTGCTTAGTACATTTACATATTTGCATAATAGGTTATTCATTTATTTATTTTTTCTTTTTTTTAGTATACTTTAAGTTTTAGGGTACATGTGCACAACGTGCAGGTTTGTTACATATGTATACATGTGCCATGTTGGTGTGCTGCACCCATTAACTTGTCATTTAACATTAGGTATATCTCCTAATGCTATCCCTCCCCCCTCCGCCCACCCCACAACAGGCCCTGGTGTGTGATGTTCCCCTTCCTGTGTCCATGTGTTCTCATTGTTCAATTCCCATCTATGAGTGAGAACATGCAGTGTTTGGTTTTTTGTCTTTGCGACAGTTTGCTGAGAATGATGGTTTCCAGTTTCATCCACGTCCCTACAAAGGACATGAACTCATCCTTTTTATGGCTGCATAGAATTCCATGGTGTATATGTGCCACATTTTCTTAATCCAGTCTATCATTGTTGGACATTTGGGTTGGTTCCAAGTCTTTGCTATTGTGAATAGTGCCGCAATAAACATATGTGTGCATGTGTCTTTATAGCAGCGTGATTTATAATCCTTTGGGTATATACCCAGTAATGGGATGGCTGGATCAAATGGTATTTCTAGTTCTAAATCCCTGAGGAATGCCACACTGACTTCCACAATGGCTGAACTAGTTTACAGTCCCACCAGCAGTGTAAAAGTGTTCCTATTTCTCCACATCCTCTCCAGCACCTGTTGTTTCCTGACTTTTTAATAATCGCCATTCTAACTGGTGTGAGATGATATCGCATTGTGGTTTTGATTTGCATTTCTCTGATGGCCAGTGATGATGAGCATTTTTTCATGTGTCTTTTGGCTGCATAAATGTCTTCTTTTGAGAAGTGTCTGTTCATATCCTTCGCCCGCTTGTTGATGGGGTTGTTTGTTTTTTTTCTTGTAAATTTGTTTGAGTTCTTTGTAGATTCTGGATATTAGCCCTTTGTCAGATGAGTAGATTGCAGAAATTTTCTCCCATTCTGTAGGTTGCCTGTTCACTCTGCTGGTAGTTTCTTTTACTGTGCAGAAGCTCCTTAGTTTAATTAGATCCCATTTGTCAATTGTGGCTTTTGTTGCCATTGCTTTTGGTGTTTTAGACATGAAGTCCTTGCCCATGCCTATGTCCTGAATGGTATTGCCTAGGTTTTCTTCTAGGGTTTTTATGGTTTTAGGTCTAACATGTAAGTCTTTAATCCATCTTGAATTAGTTTTTGTATAAGGTGTAAGGAAGGGATCCAGTTTCAGCTTTCTGCATATGGCCAGCCAGTTTTCCCAGCACCATTTATTAAATAGGGAATCCTTTCCCCATTTCTTGTTTTTGTTGGGTTTGTCAAAGATCAGATAGTTGTAGATATGTGGCATTATTTCTGAGGGCTCTGTTCTGTTCCATTTGTCTATATCTCTGTTTTGGTACCGGTACCATGCTGTTTTGGTTACTGTAGCCTTGTAGTGTAGTTTGAAGTCAGGTAGTGTGATGCCTCCAGCTTTGTTCGTTTGGCTTAGGATTGACTTGGCAATGCGGTCTCTTTTTTGGTTCCATATGAACTTTAAAGTAGTTTTTTCAAATTTTGTGAAGAAAGTCATTGGTAGCTTGATGGGGATGGCATTGACTCTATAAATTACCTTGGGCAGTATGGCCATTTTCACGATATTGATTCTTCCTACCCATGAGCATGGAATGTTCTTCCATTTGTTTGTATCCTCTTTTATTTCATTGAGCAGTGGTTTGTAGTTCTCCTTGAAGAGGTCCTTCACGTCCCTTGTAAGTTGGATTCCTAGGTATTTTATTCTCTTTGAAGCAATTGTGAATGGGAGTTCACTCATGATGTGGCTCTCTGTTTATCTGTTATTGGTGTATAAGAATGCTTGTGATTTTTGCACATTGATTTTTTTATCCTGAGACTTTGCTGAAGTTGCCTATCAGCTTAAGGAGATTTTGAGCTGAGACGATGGGGTTTTCTAGATATACAATCATGTCATCTGCAAACAGGGACAATTTGACTTCCTCTTTTCCTAATTGAATACCCTTTATTTCCTTCTCCTGCCTGATTGCCCTGGCCAGAACTTCCAACACTATGTTGAATAGGAGTGGTGAGAGAGGGATAACAGCTTCTGCTGTGCGCTGGGGAAGCTATCACTGTGTGAATGTTAGGATTAGAAGAAATATTTTATAGTACAATCAAGAGCTATCCATGCCATAGGAACACTAATATCTATTGTAACACAATCCCTTTATAATTTGAAAATACAGTTCTTTCTCTCTTCTTTACATTGATTTTTCTTTTTTAGCTGCTCTACATTTCCTTCACAAAGTTCCAATTCAGAGCCTTAATAGTAGACCACATTTTCCAAAAACCTGATCCAAATTCTGGCTCATGCAGGCAATTGAATGATTTTGAATCCAGTGGTTTTTACCCACCTATGAAGTTCATGGTATAGTTTCACACTCACCGAATTATTCTTTGGATTTGAATCATCAGAATTGTAAGGATTCTTTAAAATAGGCACAAGTTTAAAAAATGTACATGACCAGGAACTAAATTTAATTACATTTTCTCCAGCAACGTTATAATTTCAATGAGTTTAAATATATAACATTTTAATTAGAAGTTTTACAATTAAAATAGTTTTAATTACAATTTATTTAATGTTATTGAGTGGGAGTTGTAGGTGTAAGAAAACTCATACGATTTGTACATTTCAGTGTCCAGTTTAGTGTAAAAACTTAACGTTTTAAGCCCAATAGTGTCATGAAAAGTACACTATATGAGAGATCATGTGGCTAACAAACAAGACATTAGGCCAAGCCCAGTTAATAGCTTCTTAATTCTCCCTGTCCTTTCTGCAAGCAATTTTTTAAAAACCTAATTTATTATCTCATGCCTCTGTTTGCTCATTCAAAAAAATAAAATGATTGCACAGTGGTATTCTTAGGGGTAATTATAAATCTGTGAAGTAATTTAAGCAACCATCAGAACTATTTAATAACATAAGATATATTTAAATTGCTTTTATTTTATTACTGACACTGTGAGACTTTTAATTTGTCTGCTAACATTCCCAAACCAATGAATAAAATGCATAATTGTTGTTGTTAAACTTATCCCAGAGACTTGTACTCAGACCAATTGAGGCCTGCTCAGTTTGCTAGAATTCACACTGCGCAGTTTGCTGAGCATCCATACTATAATGTTCCATAAGGCATTTCTAGAAGCTTAAAATGCCAAGGCAAAAATACATGAGAATCAGTTTGATGTTTAAATGAGTAACTGGTAGACCTGATGTCCAGGAATTTCTCCTCACCCTTTCTTTGAGTAATTTGTTGTTGGCAGTGTTTTGTATATCTCCCTATTTTGAATTCTATATAGACAATTATTTATCCTCAAAGGAAAGAAATACACATAATTTTTAAAATTGCAGGAAAGAAGGTAATTTGGAGCAGATGGAAAAGTGCAACTCAGAACACTGGGCTGATTAGAAAGGAAGTAGGGACCCTGCACAGGGCTACTGATCACCAGGATTCATTTCTGGCCTTCAGTGACTCCTGAGGAAGGGAAACGAAGCCAGTCAACGGAACCCACCTTATACCACACTCAAACTCCCAGTGGCATTAAAGAAAATGAAAGCAAAAATAAAATAAAGCCCATCCAAGGGACAGCAACTTCAAAGATTGAAGGAACATCAGCCCATATAGATGAGAAAGAACCAGCACAAGAACTTGGCAACTCAAAAAGCCAGAGTGTATTCTCACCTCCAAATGGCCATACTATTTTCCCAGCAATGGTTCTTAACCAGGTTGAAATGACTGAAATGACAGAAATAGAATTCAGAATATGGATAGGAACAAAGATCATCAACATTCAGGAGAAATTTCAGACTCAATCCAAGGAATATAAAGAAAACAATGAAATGATACAGGAGATGAAAGACGAAATGACCATTTTAACAAAGAATCAAATTGATCTTATGGAGCTGAAAAACTCACTTCAAGAATTTCATAATACAATCAAAAATATTAACAGCAGAATTGACCAAGGTGAGGAAAAAAATCTCAGGGCTTGAAGACCAGTTCTCCAAAATAACTGTCACGCAAAAATAAGGACAAATAATAATAAATAAGAATAAACAAAGCCTCTGAGAAATAGAGGATTATGTAAAGAGACCAGGTCTACAATTCACTGGTGTCCCTGAAAAAGAAGGCAAGAAAGTACACAACTTGGGAAACATATTTGAGGATATTGTCCATGAACGTTTCCCCAACCTCATTAGAGGCGCCAACATTCAAATTCGGGAAATGCAGAGACCCCCTGTGATATACTATATAAGATCTCAAAGACACATAGTGATCAGATTTGCCAAGGTTGAAATGAAAAAAAAAGAAAAAAAAGGGTTAAAGGCAGCTAGAAAGAAAGCGGACAGGTCACATACAAATGGAAGCCCATTAGGCTAACAGCAGAACCTTTAGCCAGAAAAGATAGGGGGCCTATATTCAGCAGTCTTAAAGAAAAGAAATTCCAACCAAAAGTTTCATATCCAGCCAAACTAACTCACAAGTGAAGGAGAAATAAGATCCCTTTCAGAAAAGTAAATGTTAAAGAAATCCATGACCACCAGACCTGCCTTCTAAGAGGTCCTTAAGGGAGTGCTAAACATAGAAGAGGAAGACCATTACCAGCCACCACAGAAACACACTTAAGTACGTAGACCATCCACGCTATAAAGCAACCGTACAATCAAGTCTTCATAATAACTAGCTAACAACACAGTGAAAGGATCAAACCTGAACATATCAATATTAATCTTGAAAGTAAACTGACTAAATGCCCCTATTAAAAGGCACAGACTGGCAAGTTGGATAAAGAAGCAGGACTCCACTGTATGTTGTCTTCAAGTGACCCATCATACATACAATGACATTCACAGGCTCGAAGTAAAGGGATGGAAAAAAAATCTAAGCAAATGGAAAACAGAAAAAAGCAGGAGTTGCTATTCTAACTTCAGACAAAACAGACTTTAAACCAGCAATGATTTAAAAAGACAAAGAAGCACATGACATAATGGTAAAGGGTTCAATTCAACAAGACCTAACTATCTTAAATACCTATTACCCAACACAGGAGTGCCCAGATTCATAAAACAAGTTGTTAGAGACCTATAAAGAGACTTGGATAATCACACAAAAATAGTGGGGTACTTCAGCATCTCACTGACAGTATTAGACAGATTACTGAGGCAGAAAATTAACAGACATTTAGGACCCGAATTTGACATTTAACCAAATGGACCTAACAGACATCCACAGAACTCTCTACCCTCAAATTCCAGAATATTCGTTCTTCTCATCTGTACATGGCACATACTCTAAAATTGACCACACAATTGTTCATAAAATAATCCTCAGCAAATTTTTAAAAAATGAAAATATATTAACCATGTTCTCAGACAACAGCACAATAAAAACTGAAATCAATACTAACAAATAGCTCAAAACAATATAATTACATAGAAATTAACCAGCTCCTGAATGACTTGTGTGTAAACAATAAAATTAAGGTAGAAACCAAACTAATGCAGGAAGAGAAAATTCTTAGAAACTAATGAGAACAAAGATACAACATAACAGAATCTGTGGGATGCTAAAGCAGTGTCAAGAGGGAAGTTTATAGTGCTAAACACTTACATCAAAAAATTAGAAAGATCTCAAATTAACAACCTAACATCACATCTAGAGAAACTGGAGAAACAAGAGAAAACCAACCCCAAAGCTTGTGGAAAGCAGTTTTGAGGCTTTTCTCAAAAGAACTTATAACAATTGGCTGGGTGCGGTGGCTCACGCCTGTAATTCCAGCACTTTGGGAGGCCAAGGTGGGCAGATCACCTGAGATCAGGAGTTCGAGACCAGCCTGACCAATATGGAGAAACACCGTCTCTACTAAAAATACAAAATTAGCTGGTCACTGTGGTGCATGCCTGTAATCCCAGCTACTAGGGAAGCTGAGGCAGGAGAATCACTTGAACCCAGGAGGCGGAGGTTTTGGTGAGCTGAGATTACGCCATTGCGCTACAGCCTGGGCAACAACAGTGAAACTCTGTCTCAAAATAAAGAAACAAAAACAAAAGCAAAAACAAAATTACTATTTGACCCATCAATTTCATTACTGGGTGTGTATTCAAAAGAAAATAAATTGCTTTACCGATAAGACACACGCACTTGTGTGTTCATTGCAGCACTATTCAGAAGAGCAAAGAGCAAAGACATGGAATCAACCAAGGTGCCCATTAACAGTGGATTGGGTAAAGAAAATGTGTACATACACACCATGAAATACTACACAGCCATAAAAAAACAACAAGATCTTGACCTTTTCAGGAAAATCGATGCAGTGGGAGGCCATTATCCTAAGCAACCTAACACAGGAAGAGAAAACCAAATACTGCATATTCTCACTTATAAGTGGGAGCTAAACACTGAGTATCCTTGGACACAAATACGGGAACAACAGACACTGGGGCGTACTTGAGGGTGGAGGTTGGGAAGAGGGTGAGGGTCAAAAAACCGCCACCACTATGCTTATTCCCTGGGTAATGAAATAATCTGCCCAGCAAACCCCTGTGACACGCAGTTTACCTATATAGGAGATCTGCACATGTACATTGAACCTAAAATAAAAGTTAAAAACAAAAAAAGCCAGTCACAAAAGTTAAAGAAACAAAAAGTTCAGGTTAAAGATAAAATTTTGAGAAAAAAACTGGGCCTTTAAACATTTAGGGATGGTGGTGGGCAAGGCTATCTTGCTAGGAGAAGGAAAGTAAAAAGTACAGCTTGAACTATAAGAGCAAAAAGGGTATGGGCATTAACAGAAAATGAATGCTTTTATTTCCAAATGGTAGAATAGATAAAGCATTTTTTGACATCTTCTCCACAGGTTGTCAAAAAGTAAAAAAAAAAAAAAAAAAAAAATAGTGGGAAATTTTGTGTATTAGTTCATTATTGCATTGCTTTAATAAAATACCTGAGACTGGGTAACTTATTAAGCAAAGACATTTAACTGTCTCACAGTTCTGCAGGCTTTACAGGGAGCATGGTGCTGGCATCTGCTCAGCTTCTGGTGAAGCCTCAGGGAGATCTCAATCATGGCAAAAGGCAAAGCAGGAGCAAACACATCACATGGCAAGAACAGCAGTGGGGGCCGGGTAGGTGCCACACACTTTTCAACCACTAGATCTCGTGAGAACTCACTAACACAAAGATAGCACCAAGACATGAGGGATCCACCCTTGTGATCCAAACACTTCCCACTCCTAATACCTGCAAGAGCCTTGGAAGTTTATTCTCTAGAGAAATTGGACTAGAAAAATCTCAGTGATTAGGAATGAGGAGCCCCGAAGAGGATAAGCTGGAGGTTTTGTGTTGATTATAATACCATGAAGTAGAAGTCTTTAAATCAAAAGGTGAGAACTACCTTTCCTGCCTGTAGTCCTGCCTTTAGATATACCCCTTCCCAGACATAACATTGGAGGTTAATTTTGTGGAGCACCAAAATGATCTACAGAAAGAATACCAGGAGATTCATAGTTTTGAGCTAGCAGCAAAGATGCTAGTATCTCTACTTGGTTCTATGCAAAGATGCAGCCATCTTTTCATCTAATCACCTGAGAGTCAACCTCCCCTATGTACAAACCCCACAAACATAAATAAAGCTTCCATTCAACTATTTGTTGTTTTACTGTTAAGTAAATGGATGAACAAGCAACATCAGCCATTTGAGGAAATCCTACTACAGGGAAGATATGGAACATAACAAACAAGAACAAAGAAGTCTGAAAAAGAAGACGTAATATAGGGAAGAAAAGACTGCTTTAAAGAAATTCTTATTAATCATGTTAAAAAGATATATAAAGATATTATAACCATTGCATATTAAAATGTTGTCAAAATGGAACAAAGAATAGAATGAGATCTTGTAAATTAATAATAGGATTAAAATTTTAAAAAAAGAAGTTTTGGAAAATAAATTTGAGGGAAATGTCCAAATTATAGAAATAAAAAGAAAATGAGATGTGTTATAGCAGTTATAAGAATACTATCAGATGATTCTAGGTGACCTAATACGCAGTTACTAAGTGTTTGAAAAGATGAGAACAGAAAAAATAGGGAGGAGGACATTATCAACAAAATAATGTAAGAAAATTTGTCAGGTACTAGCCATGAGTGGTAGCACACACCTCTAATTCCAGCTACTCAGGAGGCTGAGGTGAGAGGATCGCCTGAGTCCAGGAGTTCAAGAAGCCAGCCTAGCAACAATAGCAAGAATCTTTCTCTCAAAAATATAAAATTAAATTAAAAAAAAGAAAATTTGTCAGTGCTAAGGGCATTGAACTTTTCCACCAAGTATTCACTACAGTGAATAAAAAAGTGACTCCACCAAAGCAACTTTATCATGATAATTTTATGAAACAAGTGATAAAGAGAAAATTGTAATAACCTCCAGGGGCTGAAGAAATGAGAACATAACAAAGAATAAAGTGTAGGAATGGTATCAGAGAGCAACTAGAATGCACTGGAATAGGTCTTCAAAACTTTTAGTGAAAATGATTCCTCAAACCATAATTGTATACCTAGCAAAACTTTCGTTCCAGTGTTAGGACAGAGTAAAGTCATTTTTAGACATACAATGTCCCAAAATAATCCTCCCTCACCCAACCAAGCACTCAATCTCAGGAAACTCCCAGAAAATATATTTCAACAAAATAAACAAATAAGACAGAGGCATATTGGGATCCAAGGAATCATATGTAAGAGAAGCAAATAGAATTTACAACATGAAGAAAAAGGAACTTTCTGCATGACAGGTGTTTTGGCCTAGAGAGCAAATAGTCCAGAATGAAACAGGATGTTGAAGGCCTCCAGGAAAAATGCCTCTAAGACAAGAGACACACTGGCAAGTGATCAGACAGGACTGCCCTGGTTGAAAGGCTGTTTTCCAGGATGCATTATCAGAACAACTGGAGAATATGAGAAGCATTAAACTTAAGCAAGTGTAAAAATTTTCTCCAGAATGCAAAAATATATACTGACTTTAGCTCACAGTTTCTCGAATAGCCTTAGCCATACTAAGTCTGCACAGTGGCCTAGGATGCTTTCAGTTGACATCTCTTCCCTCTTCCTTCATTCGGGGTCAAGGGTCAGGTTTCCTTCACAGTCTAGTGGCTCTCCGGCCTCACCTGGATGCTCTTCATTTTCTTTCACACAAGCACTTTCCCTTAAAATACTACCCACATGTGATTCTATCTCAGTGTCTCTTCTTCAGAGGGCATAGCTGACAAACCTAGCATCTGCTGTAAATTCATTATAGTGGATAGAACTGTAATATTCGGATATCACATTTTGTCTTAATTATAATACATGTTTTCTGGTGCTTTTCCCATAAAAACTCACATAAAATTCATCATATTTACCCTACAAGGCAGATACTGTTATTATTTTCCTCATTCTAGAATAAGAAAACTGAAGCACACACAGGGTAAATGACTTCCATAAGGTTGCACACTAGATTGGATCCATGAAACCTGCTTGCCGGTCTGTTCTTAAACATTCCATTAGCTGCCTCTTAAACACTATACTGAGGTCTCCCTCTAAAATCCACATATATGAGGCTATAATGGTTAAAGACTTTCAACAGGCTTTCAAATATTTTCATTCTGAACATTATTTTTTCTCAGGAGAGGGTGGAAGTAGTGGTGTTAATACAATAACAGTTGCTCTTGGGTATCTAGAAGAGCTGGTCCTCATGCATCAGTAGCTGATAATGGGGATACACTCCAAGGAGCTATAACTCAGTGTATCACCAACTATAGTCACAGTGTATTGGGTTTAAAGGTAGCTTCCAAACAGATGTCTACATCTTAATCCCTGCGAATTTTGCCCTACATGCCAAAGAGTGAATATTACCTTAGATGGCAAAAGATGTGATTAAGGATCTTGAGAAGAGGCATTTATCCTGGATTTTATGGGTGGGCCCTCAATGTAATCATATATGTCCTCACGAGAGAGAGGCATATGGAGTTTTGAGGTAGACACATGGAGGAGAAGGCAAGCTGAAGCCAGAGCAAAGAGAAATGCAGCCATAAGACAAGGGATAACTACAGCCACCAAAAGCTAGAAACAAGGACAGTATTCTCCCCAGAGCCTCCGGAAGGAGGGTGGCCCTGCTGACACCTTAATTTTGTACTTCCGTCCTCTAGAACTGTGAGAAAATCAATGTCTATTGTTTTAAGAAACTAAAGTTGTGGTTATTTGTTACAGTGACCCTAGGAAACTTACACACATGTTATGTATAATATTTTCCATTGAACATCAAATAAGGGTTGACTACTCCTCCATGGGCCAAGTATAGAGGACGCAGGAAATATTTCTCAAGAAGAGTGATTTTAAAATTGAGTTTTGAAGGGTTCCCTTAGTTAGAAAATAAATAAAAAGGACATTCAAGAAGGAGAAATAGCACAAGTGAAGGCATAGGAAAGTGAAATGCGATGGCTTCTGGACAGAAGGTGGTTCAGTGGCTCTGGATTAGAGACATGGGAAGAAGTCTTGAGAGCTGGGCCTGGCAAGTGGAAGCATGTGAAGAAGCCTTGAATGGCATGCTAAAGCTTTTGACGTGGTGGTAATCTGATAGACAATGATGATTAATCAAGGCTCTTGGGACAAAAGTAGTGATAAGATATAATCATCTGGAGCTCCATAGAAGTGGGAACTAGGAGATCAGCTAAGAGAATTTTGCAATAGTCTGATGAGAGGGAGAAGAGGGAATGCACAGTTGGCCATGGCTGTAGAATAAGATTCAAGGTGACAGACCTGGATATATGTGGGTACTGAGGAGGAAGAAAGTTGAGAATAACTTGGAAGAGTCTACTTCCAGATCTGGGTGGAAAGAAAGTGGCATTGACAAAAGAGAATGCAAATGTGGTAGAGGGAACATTTTTGAAGGAATGTAAAGACACCCTATTATATGGCAGGATAGGTGATGTGGTCAGCTTTGTGTCCCCACCCAAATCTCTTCTTGAATTTTAATCCTCATAATCCCCATAATCCCTACGTGTCAAGGGAGAGACCAGGTGCAGGTAAATGAACATCATGGGCGGGGGGTGGTTCCCCTATGCTGTTCTGGTGATAGTGAGTGAGTTCTCACGAGACCGAATGGTTTTATAAAGGGATCTTCCTCTCTTCACTCAGCAACTCTCCTTCCTGCCACCTTGTGAAGAAGGTGCCTTGCTTCGTCTTCACCTTCTGCCATGATTGTAAGTTTCCTGAGTCCTCCCCAGCTATGTTGAGCTGTGAGTCAATTAAACCTCTTTCCTTTATAAATTACTCAGTCTCCGGCAGTTCTTTATAGCAGTATGAAAATGGACTAATACAGTGGGTATTTTATCAGCCCAGTGACCTTGACCACTGCACCTCTCTCTGCTTCAGCCTTCTTATCTGCAAAGCAGAGAGTAGAGGCATTGCAATGTTATTTGTCTCACAAGGATGATGTGAAGATTTAAAGAGATAACATCTGTGAAAGTACTTTCTAAACCATTTTAAAAAATTATATGAAGGTGAGCTAATTTATAATGGCCTCTATCTGGGAAGTGATCATCTTTTGGGCATGCAGGTGGTTAATGCCACACAGGTCTGGAACCAGGGGAGGCAGCAGGGCAGCAGGTCCAGATTTGGGCCTCCTCAGCAGCCAGGTGATATCAATCATCTGATATCCCCACAGGGCAGAGAAGAGAAAAGGCTAATGCGGAGTCCCTAAAAATTGCTGGCTCCTTAGATGTAATCAGAAAATAAAAACAAATGAAGAAAAGCAGTATCATGTGGAAAGACAATCAGAGACTGGAGGAAAGATCTTTGAGAAAGTGCAGGGACGGGCGTTGGCTCTCTACATAGTCCTGTTAATAGCAACAGGCGCAGTAGATCTAAATAGAAGTAGGCAAGTTTGATCACATGAGGATATGTAAGAAATAGTCGAAAGCCATGTGTTTCTTTCAGAAGCTAGGCTCTAGGGCTCATTTGTAAGGGTAGCTCAATACCACTTATAAGCTTGTGCTGAAAGGGGCTGGCTTGCAAACGATACATTCAGCAAGCCCATGCTGAAGTTCTAGTTTTTTGTTTATTAATTGAGGTGAAATTCACCTAACATAAAATAAACCATTGTAAAATGTATAATTCAATTGTATTTATTCAGTACATTTATAATGCAATGCAACTATTAATGCTATCTGTTATAGGCTCAAAACATTTCATCACCCCCAAAAAGAAACCCTGTACCTATTAAACAGTCACTTGCACTCTCCCCTGCCCCAAGCACCTGGCAACAGATAATTTGCTCTCTGTTGCCATGGATGTATCTGAATATATACCCCCAAATAATTGAAAACAGGTATTCAAACAAATACTTGCATATGAACGAAGATCCAATTTTAAATGGGCAACTTTGAAAAAAATCAGTCTGTAGGTCAGTTAATCTTAGAAAGTGAGTCTATAAAGAACAGGCTGGGTGGCCACAATGCCCATTGAATTTATTAAAACCTGTTTTTATTTTGTACCTTAGTTCAGACTGTTCTTAGTGCCAAAAGCAGAATCAGAAGATCACAATGGCTTCTAGAAACAAGATGAATTAATATGAATGGTGAGTTCTGAGTGAGCCAGGTCATAACTTTCAGTAAGAAAAACACAGAATCCAAATTTCATTGTTTTCAGCTTTTGTTTTAACTGTTTTATAATTGGGAAATTTTGCCCTCAAATGAATACTATTGGTAAATAATCCTTTCTAATTGAAGGCTTAAAATGTCTGGGCAAAACTAAAAATGACTCCCTACCCAAGGTTTAGTAATAGTTAAGGCATTCAAACAGGAGCAGGCTGAAGAATCGTCTTCAGGTTTGGTCTTAGCAAACCTGCAATTACTCATCTCCCCATCCAGACTTACCCTGAACAAAGCAAAGGGTAACCAAAGTGCATTAATCGCTCACTGATGACTCAAGATAAACAAAAACCTTATAATCTTTGTTTCAAATAGTGTGCATTGAGATACATAGAGAGAGAGAGAAAAAAAAAACAGTCCCTCTTAGGTGGTGAATAACCATTTACCCATCAGATCTTCTCCAAGTCAAGAGTTCCACTGCCTATGTCAGGCTTTTGGACACCGCACATAAAACAAATTAAGCTTTATTAACTTAGTGGAATATTTGGAAATACTAATTTTACAGGTGCATGAGAGAAAACTGCAGTTCCAAGTATTAGAGTACCATTAAATATAATACACTCCGTATGCAGGGGCAGTTATTTAATATTAAACCAATAAAACATTACCAGTGCCGGTGAGAGTTTTGGTTGTTGACAGCAGGCTAGGTGTCCCACAGCCATGCCGTCTTTCTGTTTGCAGGCCAATTTTACACAGCTGCTTTCTTCTGGAAATCATGCCTCATTTGAAGCCTTCGCAAGTATGACAAATAGCCTCTCTAAGCCTTAGCGACGGTGGAGAAACTTGAAAATATTTAGGAGCATTTATTAACTAGAATATGAAAGAAGATTTAGTTCAACTGCAGCTTTTGACTGTGTGGAGGTCTTGTTATTGTAAGAAATGCTATCTGTTTGGGCGTGTATATCTTTTGCAGGACACTGTGTAAAATTATCACCCTGAGGGCAAAGCTAAGTTTAAACTGCATAGAAATTCTAACGTTGATCTATAAGTGGACAAAATTAGAATCAAGTCTTTACTTTCAAACTCAGCTGTCTGGTGGTACTGCTGATCCACATGCTGCCATTCTACGTATCACAAATGTCAGATAGAGCTCCTTGTACAGGGAGCTTCAAATCTGTGCAGGAATTTAGGATTTATAGGAAAAAGATATAGAAAAAAAGAAAGACTAGGTGCTAATTGAATTGTTCAAACCAGGCTTGCAACATGCAAAGCACACTGAGACTAAAGTCAGGAGAGGTGGACCCAGCTGTTGGAGTTTGGGATGAATAATGGAGGAAGGGAGGACATAGGCAACTGGCAGGGGCTAAGGATGGGGTGGGGTGGCTCTGTGCACACAACATGACATATTTTGAGAAAAAGTGAACCAATATGGCTAAAGTGGAGAGTTCATGAAAAGTCCATGGAGGCAAGTAGAAGGAGAGAAATGTAGATACATTGAATGGTCCCATTACAGAGGCTCTTGAACACCAGGATAGGATATAGATCTTTTATTTAACTACAGGAAATGTGGGGTGATGAGGGCTTTGGGAACATGAGTGTGACATAAGAAGGAAGGGTTTGGGGAAATTCCATTACAACAGCCTCTTAGATTAATTGACATGGAGAGAATTGAGAAATGCCCAGTATGCTTAGAGGATTGAGTAATGAGAGACCTGCACGAGGTTGGAATTGGCAGTGATAAAAAGGAATGGAATGTTTTAAAGAATCATTTGAAAGAGAGAAACATTTTGAAGGAAGTATTTATAGGACCTGAGAACTCACTGGGTGTAGAGAGTGACGTGTGGGCAGGTTCAGGCGGATTCTGGGACTTTGAGCCCAGGCCACTTAAACAACAAAATAAGAAAACTCAAAGAGTAAACTGACTTGGGGAGGAAAAGATGAGCTCAGTCAGTGAGATTTCTGAGGAAGACTAGAGAGCTGTAGCAGAACAGAGACAGAACCCCTTTTTGGCTTCTAGATATTTAGTGATAGAAGCAGAAGTGAAGCCAGGGGTGTTAAAGAATGGGCCAGGATGTAGTGGAAAACAAAATCTTTTGTTTCAAAGCACCTAGTCAATAAAAATTACTGCATTGAGGATTGAGAAAAAGTCATTGGGTTTCCTGAGTAAACAGCTATGCACTATTGCTAGGTAGGTGGGGTGTTGGGGGGATCCATTTCTGTAGGTTAAGGAATAAGGGGCTGCTTTCAAGATGGAAGCCGTGAATAGACTCCACTTTTGAAGAAATGAAAGTTAAAGCAAAGAGAGAAACAAGACAGGCATTTTGGTCTAATAGAAGCATCAAGAGTACACATTTTTGACAAAAGAAATAAGAGTTTAACTTAGATAAGGGAGAAATTTAAAAGAAGAACATATCAAAGACACTAAGTAGAGTGTGTATCATCTTGGAAGGTAAAAAATCAAGTATTAATAAAGCAGATCATGACTTCTACCAAGGCAGAAGGTAATTAGAGATGATGGCTGAAAACAACAGCGAGAAACATATATCAAAATTAATAGAAGTATTTGAAAGAGGGAACTGAATAACCATATGAACTAAATATTCTCAGTTACATAGAAAGTATGATTGTCTATTGGCACTAAAAAGTGGGAAAAAAATTTAACCCCTAGTGAAGTTTCGTAGAACTATTTTGGGAGATTTATTTTGTTTTGTTTTGTTTTTTTGAGATAGAGTCTCACTATCACCCAGGCTGGAGTGCAGTGGCACAATCTGGGCTCACTGCAGCCTCAACCTCCCCAGGCTCAAGCGATTCTCCTGTCTCAGCCTCCCGAGTGGCTGGAATTACAGGTGCCCACCACCACGCCTGGCTAATTTTTGTATTTTTAGTAGAGATGGGGTTTCACCATGTTAGCCAGGCTGGTCTCGAACTCCTGACCCCAAGTGATCCACCCACCTTGGCCTCCCAAATTTCTGAGATTACAGGTGTGAGGCACTGCACTCCCAGCCAGGAGATTTATTTTGAATCAGGAGAGTTAATCAGTTTCCTCTTATTCTATCAGGATTTGCTCATGGTGGCCTGGAGGACACTGTTTTGAGAAAGGTTTTCTGGGGGCATTCCGACTCAATTGCCAGGATGAATCAACGATGGTTGCCCTGAGCATGGGACTGGGGAGTGGCAGCTGCAGTGTTAGCCAGCAGGAGGAACTCTCAGGCAACAATGAATGTCAAAGAACCCAGCTCCTTAGCAGGGTTCGGGAAACTTGTGTTTCTCAGAATGGCACAGGGGTGAAAATACCCAAGGTGAAAAGTTGAAGTGGGAAGTTTAGGGTGTTCCAGCAGCCTCAGCATCACTGAGGAGCTTGTTAGAAATGCAGATCCTCAGGTTCCACTCTGGACTCACTGACACCAACTCTTCATTTGAATAATGTCCCAATGGAATCACGCACATCCAGTTTTGTAAAGAGCATTGCTGAGGTCTTCAATACAATGACCAACCACAGGGTTTAAGTAGCTGTGGGGAGGAGTCCCAGAAATAAAGAAGAATACTTATGTCAGTGTTTCTTTCTTTTTATTTTTTCTCTTCCTGTGTGTGTTTATATATATATACATAAATGTTTATTACACGTTAAGTTCTAGGGTACGTGTGCACAGTGTGCAGGTTTGTTACATATGTATACATGTGCCATGTTGGTGTGCTGCACCCATTAACTCGTCATGTACATTATGTATATCTCCTAATGCTATCCCAACCCGCTCCCCTCACCCCATAACAGGTCCCGGTGTGTGATGTCCCCCTTCCTGTGTCCAAATGTTCTCATTGTTCAATTCCCACCTATGAGTGAGAACATGCGGTGTTTGTTTTTTTGTCCTTGTGATAGTTTGCTGAGAATGATGATTTCCAATTTCATCCATGTCCCTACAAAGGACATGAACTCATCATTTTTTATGGCTGCATAGTATTCCATGGTGTGTATGTGCCACATTTTCTTAATCCAGTCTATCATTGTTGGACATTTGGGTTGGTTCCAAGTCTTTGCTATTGTGAATAGTGCCGCAATGTCAGTGTTTCTTAAGGCATAGTCTCCAGATAAGCTACATCTTCAACACCTCAGAACTTACTGAAAATGCAAATTCTCTGTCCCCACTCTAGATCTACTGAATCAGAAACTTTGGGTGTAGGGCACAGGAATATGTGTTTAACAAGCCTTTCAGATGATTCCTTTGTTCCCTAAAGTTTAAGAATAACATTCTAGATACTACTGGTAAAGTGTGCATACATAGATCATGAACAGGTGTAAAAGGTGAAGAAATTTAGCTTAAGAGTTTGGAGGCAGAAGGGTGTTAAAAGTTCAAAATGCAAAAAATAAAAAAGTAAAAGCCATCAACATTACTTTATACTACCAAGGGCTTAGCTAAATCAACCAAGGTGGAGGAGGCTGTTTGGCATTGTCGACACAGCAAGCAGCTGTCTGGATGAGTTTTTCATGATTAGTAGGTAGGCAAAGCCTTTACTTGAGGGAGTGCATTAGTTTAAGAGAAACTGGGTGATGAAAAGATTAAAACATACAGTAAAACACCATTCACATACATATAGACAATAAAATTGCAAAGTAAGTAAGCCAAGTCCAGTTTGGGGTATTTACAGGCTAACTGAAAATAATGATATTTCTGTAAGCCAAGCAGGACTGCAACTTTAGCAAGCTGGTTCCCTTTTTGTCAGTAATCACACATATCTGAAAGTAAAGTGATTATATTGTTTTAGAAAATTGTTCGCAATTCTAAGTTCTCTATCATCTACTACTAGAGAGGACTTCCACCCCAATCCAAAGGTAGCTAAAATGGGGCTGTGGGATAGTGGTATCTCTGGAGCTGCCACTAGTGAGGAAAGCCAGCCGGTGTCCTCTGTGCCCATGTCCCATGTAGTAGCCCCAGTTACTACTGTGTGGCCATTTAAATTTTAATTAATAAAAATTAAATTTCATTAAGAATTCCTTAGACCTGTCACATTCCATGTGGTCAATAGTCACTTGTCCAAGCGGCCGCCGTATCGAGGAACGAGGTTTACAGAACATTTCCACCATCACAGAAAGTTCTGTTGCACAGGGATTGAGCTTGTGATTCAAAATTCACAATGCAAGCTTTGTCTGAATCAGGCTTACCAAGGAGATGCTTTACAGCAGGGCTAACAGCAGATCCCATTTGTGAAAAGGGTTGGGTCCGGGGTCCTAAACACTCGCCATTTCCACCTGCTCTGAGTATACAAATGTTTTCTAGAAAACCCCTCAACTACTAGGATGTGGAGACATTCTAAGGGGGTCAGGAGATGACAGTATTTTATTCATTTTCTTCTTCATTTTTGCTATTGCACAGGAAGGACACAGAAATCACCCACAAGGTGACTTTGATTGACATTCCAGGACTCTCTTCATAATTTTATTTGCGTGGTTTTGTTTTGCTTTGTTTTTGCCAAGGCCTGTTATAGAAAAGGTGGCTGTACTTAATATTTATTTATTTGTTTGTTTGTTTATATTTTTTATTGGAAACCAAACAAGACAAATGAATTTTAAACCGTGACTGATGAGTAGCCAGCAGATTCTGGTGCCTGGCGGAGGCTGACTTTTCAGACTTGGTTTGAGGCCCTTGCAAATTTTCAGTTATTTTTAACCTGACTTTCATGAAAGCAGTCTAGAAAGAGAACAGTATTCACCCAGTTTTGCTACATAAATCTCTTTGAGGGCCTTGTTAGGTACCTTTACTTTGGTTAGACAAAGCATGTCAGAAAAAGAAAGAAAAAAAAAAGACAAAAATTATTGATTTGAAGCTTGAAACTGCTACCACCTGAAGGTGCGGAAGTCAGACCTAAGACAATAAACCTTGAATTAATAGGAAGACCTCGGGACACTTTCATGCCTCATGGTAAGACAGACTACAAACCTTAGGGCTTGAATCTATAACTTTGATATTCTGATTTTATAGTAAGAATTCATTAGATATTTATAGAAATAAAAGGCCTGAGCCAGAATAATGCCACATTCATCATATACAGGTATAAATCCTTGAATAATCTGAAGTTCGGCAAGTGACTTTTGCTATACATATGCATATGCAAAAGTATATATATGTGTGTATACATGTATATGTATATATGTATATACATGTACACACGCATATATGCCTGAAAGGCCCCTCAAAGAGATTTATGTAGCAAAACTGGGTGAATATATATATATGCAAAGTCTAAGATTAAGAAAAGGACATTGCCTTGGGAGACTTGACTTTTGAGCTGCCCATGGAGTCTTAGGGGCTTATGGCAACATTTTTTGTTTATCCTTTGGTGGTGTTCCCTTGGGTAAACACAAATACCTCTGTGCCTCATCTCTCCTGTGTTTCCCAGAATTTTTTTTCTCACTCTTGTCCTGGGAAAATTAATGTTCTAAGCCTTTCTGATGAGGCTTCCAACATCTTCCCTGTGAATCTTTGTGAAAAGCTAAGAGGTCTTTTCTGGGCAATTAGCCTCATATAATTTTCCAAATTATATGTTTAGCTCTGACGTGTGTCTCTCCAAAGTTGGTGCACTATTTGTTTATTTGGTTCTGAACTGAGAGTGGAAAGGAGTGCCTCCTGCTGCAGGTGATCCTGAGTGAGCCCCAGTGTGAGCAAATCGTAGCCCGGGAGGAGGTGCTTTACCAGCACGTCCTGTCAAGGCGCTTTCACAATCTTCATGAAAAATGGAAAGCTAACATTCTTTCTTTCTTCTTAATTCTCATCATTTATTCCATTTTAAAGTGACCAATTCCATGGCATTTAGTACATTTGCGATGTTGTTACAATTACTACCTCTATCTAGCTCCAAAATATTCCATCACTCTGAAGTAAAACCCTTATCCATTAAGCAGTTTCTCTCCATTGCCCCTTCCTCCAAGTTTTTGGCAATGGGTTCATCAAAGATTTCTTAGATAAACTTAGCCATGCTAGTGTGGTAGTCAGCTAATCTATTACCCTTCCTGCCAAAACCTTAACTGTTGTTTCTTAGAAACCATTAAGGAATAACTGGCAAGAGATAGTTAAGTTCTTGCCCATTTTAAAATTGGGTTGTCTGTCTTTTTCTCGTTGAGTTTTAAGAGGTGTATGTGTGTGCGTGTGTGTGTGTGTGTGTATTTTGGATCCTTATCAAGTATATGATTTACAAAGCTTACTCTTTCTTGTTATTGAGTTTTTGTTTCAAGTACCATCTACAAAGAAAGGACTTATCTGATCGCTCTGTGGTGTAATTAGGCTCCTTTGTCATTGGCTATTCAACGACTCAATTATAATTTCTTTTGAGATGGGGTCTCACTCTGTCACTCAGGCTGGAGTGCAGTGAAACATTCATAGCTTACTGCAGCCTCAACCTCCTGGGCTCAGGTGATCCACCCACCTTAGCCTCCTGAGTAGCTGGAACCACAGGCACGTGGCACCAAGCCCAGCTTATTTATTTATTTATTTATTGTGGAGATGGGGTCCCTTTATGTTGCCCAGGCTAGACTCAAACTCCTGGGCTTCAATAATCCTCCCACCTTGGTATCCCAAAGTGCTGGGATTACAGGTATGAGCCACCAAGCCTGGCCTCAATTATAATGTACTGATATACTTGTACTCTTTAAAATTATCTTGCTAAATTATGTCTTTCCTCTACTGGAATGGGGAAATTAAATTTGTTTAGCAATGTTTTATTAATGCCTGGAACACAGTATATCACTTCAATGAAATGAACATATTTATAGAATTTTGATTTTGTAACAAAGGAATCTGCTGAAACCAATGTCAGTTTGCTCCTACATTATTTGTCTATGGACAATAATATCCTTCTTTTTTTTAAAACAAAATTAACAGCATCTACACTGTGTGATTCCACTCACATCTCTTGAGATTATTATTGAATCTTGAAGGTTCCAGTCAATGGACAATTGGTTAAATACAACACTTTTTATTCAATTCTTCACTCATTTATTCATCAAATATTTTTTGAATTGGATAAACAATGAGTAAATATTGAATACATAACTGAGTTAATAAAAGAGTAGATTTGTTTTCAGTTCACTTTAATGAGAATAAGAATAAACTGAAAATATTTTAAAGGAATTATGCACTTTCTGAAAGCAATGTAGAATTCTGTTTTCCCCATTCATGGATGGTCTTAAAAACTCCAATGTTTTATTGCAACTCTGGAAGATAATGAGGAAAAGTAATCATCTCCTGAAATACCTTTTACTTAATATGACATCTTCAAGGTGAAATAAAGTATGGTTCAGGTGAAAGAAAAGGCAACCAAAACTTGAAAAATATACGCAGTGTTGCGTGGATAAAATGGTATGATTATAATATTGAAGATGTTGCAAAGGAAAAGGAGAAAGAGCAGCTACCTGATATGGTTTGGCTGTGTCTCCACTCAAATCTCATCTTGAATTGCAGCTCCCATAATTCCCACGTGTTGTGGGAGGGACCTGGTAGGAGATAATTGAATCATCAGGGCGGTTTCCCCCATACTGTTCTCGTGGTAATGAATAAGTCTCACAAGATCTGACGATTTTATGAAGGGTAACCCCTTTCACTTGGCTCTCATTCTCTCTTGTCTGCCGCCTTATAAGCGTGCTTTTCTCCTTCCACCATGATTGTGAGGCCTCCCCAGCCAAGTAGAACTGTCAGCCCATTAAATCTCTTTCGCTTTTCTTTTTTTTTTAGACTGAGTCTCGCTCTGTCCCCCAGGCTGGAGGGCAGTGGCGCGATCTCGGCTCACTGCACGCTCTGCCTCCCGGGTTCACGCCATTCTCCTGCCTCAGCCTCCCGAGTAGCTGGGACTACAGGCGCCCACCACCACGCCCGGCTAATTTTTTTTGTGTGTGTGTTTTTTAGTAGAGATGGGGTTTCACCGTGTTAGCCAGGATGGTCTCGATCTCCTGACCATTGTGATCATTGTGACCATTGGGACCATTGTGATCCACCTGCCTCAGCCTCCCAAAGTGCTGGGATTACAGGCGTGAGCCACCGTGCCCCGCCAAATCTCTTTTTCTTTATAAATTACCCAGTCTCGAGTATGTCTTTATCAGCAGTGTGAAAACGGACTAATACACTACCTAAATAAAGCAATAGACTATTCTTTCCCTCTCCATTTCTTATGGGAAGAAAGGCAGAGAGAAGAAAAAAGAAATGTGTTCATTTTATGTTAAAATCAAGTTTTCATATCATTTAGTAAGAAAAAAGGTAAAATATTCTCATTCTCTTCCACCATATTATAGTGTGCTATAATTCACCAGTGATATTCTGCCCCTGCATCAATACCACTGAGGTTTTTTTTTTTAATTCTAAAATATGCCATAAGTAACACCATAGCTCTGCTTGTGATTCTCTACCTTCTCACTCAAAAAACAAAAACAAAACATAAACAAGAAAGGAAAAGTTGACAGGTTTGGAGGGGAAAGGGGCAGGTAATGAAATGTCCAGTGGCTGTGTATAGTCTGTTCTATTTAAAAGATAATTTTTTTTGCAGATTATGATTCTTTTATACAGCATTTAGAATTACAGAATTTTGGTGCTATCATGGATCTTAAAATATCTAGTCTGATTTCTTTATTTGGGAGACAGTGTGCCTCAGAAGTTATGACATGGAATTTGATACTACGTGGATCTGAATTTAAATATCAACTACACCTCATGCTGTGTGACCGAGGCACATTGCTTCACCTGTCTGATGCTCAGTCAACTCTTTGATAAAACAGAATCATCTGTAGGTTTTGTGAAGAGTAAATGAGATAATGCATATAAATCCTTGAGCCCAATATCTAGTACATTTTAAACAGTCAGTATTAGTTTTATTTATTAATTTTTTCTGTGATACCACTCCTTCATCCACCCAAATTATGTCACCCCTCTTTGCAGTATAAATTTTTACTGTAAATTTTGCAGATGCAATTTTTACCTTAAGATTCCCAAAGTCTCTTGTGGCTTCCCTAGAATAAAGTAGTCTGTTTCTCTTCTAAATTACTAAGGCATTTGCTCTGTGGCTTTCTTACAATATAATACATCTAACATAACAGTGGGCTTATTTAAACTACAAGTCCCTAGAATATGTTTTTATGCTAATAATCCACATAGGATCTTAGACAATGTAACAATGAAGAGTTTTGGAATGAGTAAACAGACGGCCATTAGAGGTGGAATAAAAGCATAGAGATGTGTGTTATTATGTATATCTCAATTCAATTCATTCATTCATTGAAGAAATAAGTATTGAGTCCCTACCAACAACATTCCTTGCCTCTCTAGCCAACATCTTTGCAGATGCAGGTATAGATACTTACTTTTGAATTGTGCTTTTCAAATTATTTTGGGGACCCACCAAAACATTGAAATAATTGATCCACTGGAAGTCAGATAAATTAACAGGTCATTACCATACAGATGAGAAAAAAGGGCCTTTTAAATTATTAAGCAGATCCAAATAACCATACATTTGGAAAGTACATTGATCCCAGAGTAAATCTACCCTCTACTACAGTATTTAGCACTATTCTTGGATGGGTAGAGTGAGATCAGCACATGGACTCTACTTTATCTTCCAGTTGTATGTTTAAAGTGCTGGGAAAGGCTACACAACATGTAGTATTTTCAGACTTCTGATGTTCTTGCTTCTAGCCATAAGCCAAGATCTATTAGACACTCTTTCTGAACATCCCAAGATGTTGCTGTTGAAAATTAGACAGGAAACAGAAGAGCTCTTGCATTTTCTGACCACGCAACTCATACTAGACAAATGGAATGACTCCAACTGTGACCCAGCACTTCCTGCAGACTTGACTTGCCATTTCCTTCACTTCAGGCTTCTTTGATTACATCACCTGGACTCCTTTACCCTGGGTGAATGGTACCTTATATGACTGTCCCTGTTTTGTATTACCTCACAGGTTATGCTCCCTTGATGTTTAGGTGATGTGACTCAGAGTATAGGATGAAAGGCCATTTTGTGGTTATAATGAGTGTCTTTACAGGGCTCTATGTTTTAAATATATATGGGCAGTACTACAATAATGCCAACAATTCTGGTATCAGTTTTGTTTAAGAAGTTATAAACTCAATGACTTAATATTTTTCTGTATTGAAAGGATATGAGGGAATTATTAATGCAAATAGCCAGACGTTTCTAAAGGTTCTATTTCCAGGTAGATAATTAATGCTGTTCTTAACATGGTCCTTCATCTGTGACAATTTTTTAAATTAAATTTCTTGTTTCAAGTTAGTTGTAGATTCACATTCCATTCTAAAATATAATACAGAAAAGTACTGTGTACCCTTTACCTAGTTGCTCTCAGTAGTAATATCTTGCAGGACTATAATATAATACCACAACCAGGATACTGACATTGATGCAATCCACTGAATTTATTGACTTTTCAGTATTACTTGTGATAATGTGTAGCAAAGTGTGTGTACATGTGTACATACATACACATCCATGCACATTTAAGTCTATGTGATTTTATCACATGTGAAAATTTGTATATCATCACCACAGTCAAGATACATACAATTCCACTTCCAAAATAATTTCTTGTGTTGTTATTCATGTTCTAGGTAATTGTTTGCTTTTAGTGTTGAGTTTTGAGTGTACTTTATATATTTTTAGATACTAGCCTTTTGTGGGATATGTAGTCTACAAACATTTTCTCCAGCTCTATTGGTTGCTTTCATCCTTTTAATAGGGCCTTCTGTAGAGCAAATGTTTTTAATTTTGATGAGGTCCAATTTATCAATTTTTTCTTTGACAGACTGTGGTTTTGGTGCTGCCTAAGTACTCTGCTTAGTCCTAAATCCTGAAAAATTTCTTCTTTTTCTCAAAGCTTTATAGTTATATGTTTGGCATTTAAGTTCACGATTCACTTTAGTTAATTTTTATGTAAATTTTGGAGTTGAAGTTGAAGTTCATTTGTGGCCAACAGATGTTCAGTTGGTCCATTACCATATGTTAAAAAAGCTATCCATCTCGCATTGAATTGCTTTTGTACGTTCATCAAAATTAAGTTACATTTATGTATGTGAGTCTATTCTGGGTTTTCTGTTTTGTCATGTTAAACTAGGTATCTATCCCTCTGCCACATTGTCTTGTTGTGGCTACAGAGTAAGAGTAAACACCAGGCCCTGTGATTCTTCCCACTTTACTCTCCTTTGTCAAGATTATTTTTTAACTGTTCTATGATCTGCATTTTTCTCTATGCATCTTAGAAAAATCTTGTCCATGTCTCTAAATAAGTTACTGGAACAACAAACAATATGAAAAATAAATTAAGAAAACAATCTTATTAACAATAGCATTAAAAATACTGAAGAGTAGACTTAACCATGAAAGTGTGCTGGACATGGTGGCTCATGCCTGTAATCCCAGCACTTTGGGTGGCCGAGGCAGGTGGATCATTTGAGGTCAGGAATTCGAGACCAGTCTGGATAACATGATGAAACCCCATCTCTACTAATAATACAAAAATTAGCTGGGTGTGGTGGCACACGCTTCTAATCCCAGCTACTCGGGAGGCTGAGGCACGATAATCGCTTGAACCCGGGAGGCAGAGGTTGCAGTGAGCTATGATTGCACCACTGCACTCCAGCCTGGGTGACACAGTAAAACTGTGTGTCTCAAAAAAAAAAAAAAAAAAAAAAAAAAAGAAAGTAAGAAAGTGAAAGATTTGTATGCTGAAAACTATAAATTATTGGTGAAAATAAATGATGACAATACAAATAAATAGAAAGATATTTCATGTTCATAGATTAAACAAAATTACTACCTGAAGTGATTTAAAAATTTCAATGAAAACCCTATAAAATTCCAATGTCCTTTTTATAGAAATAGACAAAATAATCTCAAAAATTCACATAAAACCACAAAAAAAAAACCCAAATGCCAAAGAAATCTTTAGCCAAAAGAACAGAGTTGGGGGCAGTACATTACCTGATCTCAAAAATATTACAAAGCTATATTAATGTAAAAAATGATACTGACATAAAAATAGACATATTGATAAATGTAAGTGGAGAGACAGCCCAGAAATAAATTTACACATTTACTCTCAATCGATTTTTGACAAAGGTGCCAACAATACACAATGGGGAAAGGGAAATCTCTTCAATAAATGGTGTTGGAAAAACTGGATATCCACATGCAGAAGAATGAAACTGGACCCTTTTTTACCATATACAAAAATTAACTCAAAATGGATTAAAGACTTAAATGTAAGATGTGAATCTCTAAAACTATAAGAAAACATGGAGGAAAATCTCCAAGACATTGGCCTGAGCAATAATTTCTTTGATATGACCCCAAAAACATAGGCAACAAGCAAAAATGGACAAATGAGATTACATCAAACTAAAAAGCTTCTCCACAGCAAAGGAAATAATAGAGTGAAGACAGAAGCCATGGATTGAGAGAACATATTTGCAAATCATACATCTGATAAGGGAATAATATCCAAAATATGTAAGGAACTCAAACAACTTAACAGCAAGAAAACCAATAATCCTATCTAAAAATGGGCAAAGGACCTGAGTAGATATTTCTCAAAAGAAGACATATAAATAGCCAATAGATATATGTGAAAATACAGTCCTAGACTAGCTAAAACAATCTTGACAAAGGAAAGTAAAGTGGAAGGAATCACTGAACCCAGTGTTTAGGCTTACCCTATAGCCACAGTAATGAAGATGATGTGGTATCAGCAGAGGGATAGATACATAATTCAAAGAAATAAAATGAAACACCCAGAAATAGACACAAACAAATAAGTCTAACTTAATTTTGACAAACATGGAAAAGCAATGCAATGGGGGAAAAAATCTATTTAACAGATATACACAATGGAATACTATTCAGCCTTAAAAGGAAAAAAAAATCCTGTTATTTTTGACAACATGGCTGAACCTGAAGGCCACTATGCTAAGTGAAATAAACCAGGCACATAAAGACAAACACTGCATGGTCTCATACGTATGTTAAATTTTTAAAAGTCAAACTAATAGAAGTAGCAAGTAGACTGGTTGTTAGCAGAGGCTGGCAGGGTTGGGGGAAGGTGGTAGATGAGGAAAGGAAAGATGTTGGTCAAGAGTACAAAGTTTCGATTAAGAGAAATAAGTTGTATTGAACTATGGCACACCATAGTGACTATAGTTAACAATATTGTATATTTCAAAATTACTGAAAGAGTAGATTTTAAATGTTCTCACCACAAATAAATGATTATTATGTGAGTTGATAGATATGTTAATTAGCTTGATTTTATCATTCCACAGTGCATACATACATCACAACGTCACATTCTACCCCATAAATATATATGTAATTACTATTTGTCAATTTTTTAAAAGCTGCTGGAATTTTGATAGGAAATTGCATAAAACCTATATATCATTTGGGAAGAATTGACCTCTTTATTATATTGAGTCATAAAATCCATGAGCATTTTTTGTCTTTGACTTCTTTCATTGGCATTTTATAATTTTCAGCATATTTGTCCTGTATATGTTTTGTTAACTTTATATCTAAGTATTTAATTTTCTTTGTAGTGATTGCAAACAATATTGCTTTAAATTTCTGTTTCTACATATTCATTGTTAGTATACAGAAATAAGATTGATTTTTGGGTATTTATTCTATATCCTGTAATCTTGCTGAAGTTCAATTATTAGTTCTAGAAAAGTGTAGATTCTTCCTGATTTTATATGTAAATAATTATGTCATTTGTAAACAGGAATGGGTTTCTTTCTTCCTTTTCCATCTGTATGGTTTCATTTCTTTTTCTTACCTTATTGCACTGGCTAGAACTTCCAGTACTAGTAAGAGTAAGAGAGGTTAGAGCAAAAGAGGAGTGCTGACATTCTTATCTTATTCTTGATCTTATGGGGAAAGCATTTAGCCTTTCACCAGTAAACATTTGAGTATTAAGCTACAGGTTGTTTTACAGATTTTTTTTTTCAAATTGAGGCATTTCCTTCTTATTCCTATTTTGCTGAGAATTTTTATTGTGAATGAGTGTTCACAATAAAACTCTTAAATCTTGTCAAATGCGTTTTCTGTGTCAACTGACATAATCTCATATGCTTTTTGCTTGTTAGTGTATTCACATGATGAACTACACTGGATTTTGAAGGGATGTTGAAACAACCTTGAATACCTAAAATAAAGTTTACTTGGTCATGGAGTGTAATTCTTTTTAAACATTGTTGAGTTTAATTTGCTGTTTCTTTGTTGAGAATTTTCACAGCCATATTCATGAGAGATATTGGTCTGTAGTGTTTCATTTTGTTTTGTTTTGTTTTTGCTACAATTTTTGTCTGGTGTACATAGCAACTTCAGTGATACTGGCCTTATAAAATTTGAAAGATGGTTTTTCTTTTATTTTCTGGAAGAGATTGCATAAAATTGGTGATAATTTTTTAATGGTAACATTTTCCTGTGAATGGTAGCACTTTCCACCTGGCACTGAAGATTTTGTTCAGGAGATTTTAAAAAAGAAATTCAACTGATTTAATAGTTGTAATAGTATTAAGATGATTTACTCTGTTTTGTGTTTTGGTTACATTTTAATACTTGGTGGTTTTTTGAAGAATTGACCAATTCTTTTTTTTTTTTTTTTTTTTAGATGGAGTTTTGCTCTTTTGCCCAGGCTGGAGCGAAGTGGTGCAATCTTGGCTCACTACAACCTCCGCCTCCTGGGTTCAAGTGATTCTCCTGTCTCAGCCTCCCGAGTAGCTGGGATTACAGGTGCCCGCCACCATGCCCAGCTAATTTTGGTATTTTTAGTAGAGATGGGGTTTCGCCATGTTGGTCAGTCTGGTCTCAATCTCCTGATTTCAAGTTATCCACCAGCCTCAGCCCCCCAAAGTGTTAGGACTACAGGCATGAGCCACCACACCCGGCCACCAATTTCTTTTAAGTTGACAAATTTATCAGGGCAAAGTTTCTTATAGTCTTCTAATGTGCTTTAATAGCTACAGGATCACTACAGATGCTGACAGAGCTTTCAATGATAACTTATTTCATTTCTAATATTAGTTGTGTGTGTGTCTTTTCTCACTTTATTTTTGTAGTCCTTATAGAGTTTTATCAATTTTACTAATTTTTAAAATAACTATCTTTGATTTCACTTTTCTATTATTTTCCTTATTTTCAATTTCTTTAATTTCTGTGTTTATATTCATTATTTTCCTTCCTTACGCTGCTTTGGGTATAATTTTTTTCTTTCACTAGTTTCTTGATGTAGAAACATAGATTAATGATTTGAAATTTTTTCTCTTTGTTAATATAAATGTCTAGTGCTATAAATTTGCCTCACAGAACTGTATTAACAGCATCCCACTTTTTTATGTTTTATTTTTCTGTTACTTTGTTTCTATATATTTTTAATTTTTTAAGGCTTCCTCTCTGATCCATGGGTTATTTAGAAGAATGCAATTCAATTTCTGTCTATAAATGTTTCTGTGGTGTTTCTGGTATTTACTGTTGAACCAAAACATTGTATGATTTCAATTTATTTTAATGTTTTGAGGTATAATCTACGATCCAGGATATGAACTGTCTTGGTGAATATTGTGCATTGTGAAAATGTGCATTTTGCTTTTGTTATACCTTTATTAGATCTTGTTGGTTGATTTTGTTGTTCATGTCTTCTATATTCTTACTGATTTTTTTTTGTCTAGTATTTCTACCACTTGCTGAAAATAAGATGTTGAAGTCCTCAGTTATAACTGTTAATTTGTCTATTTTTTAGCTATACCAGTTTTTGATTCATGTATTATGAAGCTGTTATTTGGTGGCTTCACATTTAGAATTGTTCTTCTACTCTTAATTGTTGCCTTCCTGTGGGTTAAACATTTTTCAGGATTTCGTTTTTACTTATAGTATTTTCCAGTTTGAGTTTGTATCTTTGTATAGCTGTCTTAGAGTTTACTCTGCGAATTGCAACACACACATATGGCTTATCACAGTCTACTGATAACCAACATTTTACCACTTCAAGTAAAGTGTGAGAACCTCTCTTGTATTTAGTTCTCTTTACTTTCCCTATTTGAAACATTATTGTCTTGAGTATCAAATGGGCTTTACAGATTTTGATTCAGTCATCAAATATAACTTGTAAAACTCATGAACAGAAGCATAGTGTATTGTATATGCCCAGGTTCCTATTCATTCTACTGCTCTTTCTTCTTGAAAACCTTCTATTAACCAGTTATTAAGAATATGTTTCTAGTGACAATTTTTTAAAAAAAATTTTCCTTCCCTTGAGAATGTTTTTAAAACAAATTTCCCTTAATTTCTGAAGAATGATTGCAATGATTATGGAATCCATGGCTGATAGTTCTTTCCTTTTATCAGAGGCATTTAAACCAGAGTGGCTCCATTTTGTGTAGAGTCTGAGTAAAATGAAGCTGAGATCTACTGGGCTGCATTCCCAGGAGGTTAGGCATTCTAATCACAGGAAGAGATAGGAGGTCAGCATGAGATCCAAGTCATAAAGACCTTGAGAGTGACCTCTGGTTGTCTCACTGGTCTTTATATGGTAATTATAATGCATTAGCATGCTAAAAGACACTCCCACCAGCACCATGACAGTTTACAAGTGCCATGGCAATGTCAGGAAGTTACTCTATATGGTCTATAAAGGGGAGGTACCCTCGGTTCTGGGAATTGACCACGCCTTTCCCAAAAATCTCATGAATAATCCACCCCTTGTTTAGCATACAATCAGGAAGTAACAAGAATCCTTGGTTGAGCAGCTCAAGCTGCTGCTCTGCCTATGGAGTAGCCACTCCTTATTTCGTTACTTAATAAATTTGCTTTCACTTTACTCTATGAATTCATCTCAAATTCTTTCTTGAGCAAGATCCGAAAACCCTGCCTTGGGGTATGGATTGCGACACCTTTCTGGTAACACTTTCAGCACTTGAAAAATATTGTATCACTTCTTTCTGGGCTCCATGATTTTATATAAGAAATATACTATTATTCAAATTTGTGTTTCCTACAGTTAATGCATTGATTCTCTGGATATGTTCAAGTTTTTTTCTCTCTCTTAATTTTTCAGAAGTTTCTTTTGAATATTAATTAAATTTACACATCAGATGCATATCCAGGCTATTGAACTTATCTCTCAATTTGCATAATAGGTATGACACCGCTTTTGAAAAGAAGGAAATAGAAAAAAATCCCATCAATGGTCTTCTTTCATTTTTCCTTTCCAGACTTCAAATGCACAGATGATGCTCTTCACGGTCTATGTGGACTGAAAGGCAAACTTCCAGCCACTGACAAAGCCTTTGGCCAACAATAAACAGTGATCCGATTTTGATCCTTTCTTTGTTATGGTATCTCTTATTTTCATTTTCTGATGCTCCTAATCTCAGTACAGCAGTTTCTTATCAGGAAGAACTCCAAAAGTCAGCTTGTTTTGTAAGTGAGGATGCACACACAGCCTTGAGTGCTGGGAGAGGACTGGCTGAGTGGGTGAGTGTCAGCCTGTTGCAAGATAGAAGCCCCTCCAAGTGAAGAAATGCAAAACACCATAGGATTCCAATCGACTCAGCATAGAGTAGAGGATGAGGATGAGGTTTTCCTTCTTTCTAGAGCACATGGACAAAGACCTGGGTTTTTTTTAAATATAAGAACTTAAATGAAAGTTTAGATCATTGTGACTATGCCTTTGTGCTACAGTAAGAATGGCCCTTTTCCTTTCTGGCCACCTTTAGATAGCTTATTGAGAACTTATATGTTAGCTAGTATGCTAACCACTACTCCAATATTCAGTGTAGGTCTGTTAATAATAACAGTGGTGATGGTGGTAATATAATGATATTTTCTTAATAATAGCCAGTAGTGATTGAACACTTACACTATTCTGTTTGCTTTATAAATATTAACCCATTTCATCTGCCTGACAGTGCTAATAGATGGTAACTACTATTATGCCTGTCTTAACAATTGGGAAACTGGAGTGATAATACTAAATAAGTTAATCAAGGCCACACAGCTGATAGCCAGAGAGGCTGGAATTCAAACTTAAGCAGCATTACACCATAAAAGATCTTCTTAGCTGTTAAGCTATAACTACTAGACACTTCTATGACTGTTTAATCTTTTGTAAAATCAAGGAGTTGGACCACACAACAACAATGAAAATAACACAACAACAACATTACAACAAATATACCAGTAATGGCGAGTAAAATTGACTGAATTCTTACTGTGGTTTAAAATCTGGGCCATATGCTTGGTACGTATTTTTTTCATATAGCTGTTACCACATTCTATGTGGGAAGAACCATTATTATCTGTATTTTATAGTACTGCAGAAATGTGAGGTGACTTACTAAATAGTACACAGCAAATAAGTGGTGGCATCAAGATTGAAATCTAGGTGTTCATTTTTCTCTGCAGGCAAAAAAAAAAAGCTCTAAATTAGTCATTTCCTATTAGTACAACTTTTACCACAATTAATATATGCAGATTTAAACCCTCAGTTATGAATATCTTTCTAAAGATGGAAGCAGCATTCCCTTCTGGGCCATTTATCCAAAATTAAGATATTAGAAATAGAAAGCAGCTACGATGAGAGATAATCAGAGATGGGGTTGGCAAACTACACTGAGCTGCTTGTCACCGCGTGGAAGACAGGTTTGTTAGGCTGTCAGCTTAATGGAAGTTTGACTCTTAAGTTAACCTTTGAACCTACATCAAGTCTTCAGAAAATCTTAGACAGCAATTTTATTTTTCTGGACTTTTTTTTTCTTTAAAAGTGGTTCAAACTGGATTGCTATTTAACTGTGGTTTTGAAAATAAAAGGAAAACTGGTATAAATGACAGCACTGTCCAAATACACATTTGGAAATCCTTCTAATTCCCAAAAAGAACAGAAGCTTCAATCTGATAACTGAAAATAAGGTTCTAGTATTCTAAAGGCAGCATAGTTAATAATCTAGAGAAGCAATTCATGTTTTATTTGAATATAAACAAGAACATCTATAAACTCATCCTTTCTATAATCATAAATTTCAAAAACTGGTCCATAAGTTTATATTTTATAAAAATAGTGTTTATATGGCTAAATAAATATGCAGTTTAAACTTAATTAACTCAGTACAGTTTCTCAGGTATGGCCCACTTAAAGTGGAGTTTTAAATGCAGATTTAATTATATGCATTTATCCAAACATAAAATTTCTTCTTTACATTTGAGATTCATTTTAATATTTTGAGGAAAATTAGATCATTTTTTATTTTGGTAGATTTCAATCACACTGTGAATTTTGATATTCCCACTTTAAAACATTGCTTTTAGTCACATCTGCTAGATTGAGCCCTATTAATTTTTTATCATGGAAACATTAGTACCTGTGTTTACTCTTGTTTCATTTATATTTCAAGTGAACAATAAGGTAATTTGGAATGAATGGGAAACTTTATCGTGTGATTATTTAAAATTTTACCAGCAGGAGTCAAATTTTTGGTGGCCAGTCTGTAACAGGAAATTTATAAAAGGTCTTCAAGCTCTAGGGTTTATGTGGAGCTGCTTGTTCTTTGTCGAACAAATATTTACTGTGTTCCTACTATGTGCAAAACACTGCATATGAGGTGATGGGAGGGAGGAGTTTCAAAAGTGAATGAGTGAGGCAGGATCTAATCTTACTATCTAGTTAGAGAGAAAGGATGATAAAGAACATTCACAAACATGACATAGGGAAATATGTGATTCGTCCCATAGACAAGACACAGATAAAATATTAACCGAGTCTTGAGAAGGCAGACCAGCCTGGGTGACCAGAGTAGAACTCCAAAGAGTAGGGAATAGTGGAAGATGGCCTGGATTTCAATCCAGTAGAGATGGTGGCCCAGGCACTTCAGCCAGAGTTATAGCTAAAGCCATGGCATAAAGGAGGGAACACACAAAAGTCTTGGAAAGGAAAGTATCAGCAATCTAGAGCAGAGAGTTGAATAAGAAGGAGGCATAACCCTATTATTAATTATTATTCATTAGTAATTAGTGGGAAAACCTAGTTAAAGGCGTTGAAGCTTTGTAAATGGAGAACTACTAAATTATCAGATCACAAGAATGGTATATCTCAAGTGATGTAGAAAGAATAATTTACTAAGAGAATCTCACAGCGAGCCGGAGAGAGAAGAGACAAAGAAAGCAGCCATGTGGCTGTTAACAATAGAGTGATGGCATAGAGAACAGGATACAAAGTTCAATATAGAAGATATAACAAAGGAAGCATAAATGGAATTTAACAGAATATTTGTGTGTTTGCACGTGCATGTGTGTTTGTGTGTGTGTGTGTATTGCTACTAGTTACAAGAGGGCAGGGTTAGCAAGAAACAGAAGAGTCCCTGGGTCAAGCTCTGTGGTGGAAGATAAGACATTGATTTAAATTCTAGTTTTATTGAATTTGAACTGATAGAAAACAGAGATGTTGAAAAACTAGACATATAGAAAGGGAGTTGAGACCAAATCTGATGGAAATTGGAGCATTAGTTACCTCAGCTCTCAGACCTCAAGTTGTGCAGGTGACTTACTCAGTTCAAATATGCCTTTCAATTAGGGCTCAGAATATATTTCAGAGCCTGTGTATGAAAAGAACACAAACATTCTGATTAGAATTTAGAGGCCAATAACTATAATTTGCATTAAACCAATGGCAAGAATGATGCCCCAAATTACAGATACAGATTAATGAGGATAAAAAAACCTTGTGTCCTCCTTCTTAGTATGCACAAATGAATGTATTTTTATAGTTTCCTGGAAATTTATCATGCTTTTTCAGAGGCATTAGCTCTCATTCAAGTCTTCTTCTCATTTGTTTCCATCGGTCTCCTTTTAATCTATTCACTTCTTAGGAAATTAACAACAGTATGGTTAAAGTCCTGTCTTAGTCACTCCTGATATGAAGGATATTTTCATGCTCTTATCTTACACTATCAATTATTCTGTAGCATTTAATAAAATATAATAAGCATAATATTTTTAGTATTTAAAAGGTAAATTGTTTTATAAATTTGCTTCAGTAGAACAGGTTTTAAACAAAATTTCCAATTATTTACATAGATAAATGAAAATTGATTATAACTGAAAAATAAAAGTGTCTTACAAAGAAATGGATTTTTGACAACCTCAAGTAAACAATAACGTACAGACTTTTAAAGGTAAGACTTGTCAATTTAGTAACAAAAGAATAAAGTTGTTTTCTTTCTGAGAACTAGATTCCAAGATTTCTAACCCGTTCTCTCGTTTAGCCCATGTCATTTTCTCTTGTTTTCTTCCCATTTTGTCAGATTTCCATTTGTGATCTGTGTATCCATGATTGTTTGAAAAAGGAGCCCAGGCTTCTAGCCCATAAACATCACTTCTGCTGTCTCCTGAATTTATTTAAATGGCTGGTACTTGAGCCCAGGGGATTATTTATGCTAACACCATGGAGTCAAGAGTACTCATTACCACCACTCCAAACTCTCCAGAGGTCAACAACATGAAGCAGGCCCTTCATGCTTTACTACTTCACGTCCTAATCTTTCTCAGTCCTTCACTTCCCAACCTTTATGCTTTGGGTCATCACTTACACACTTTGTTGATGAGTTAAGTGAAATATATGTTTGCAGTCTGGTAAAAACTACATTTGCTTTTCCCCTCAGCTCACTGTTTGTATTCATTTGCATGCTCTTTATCATCATAAAAATCACAAATTGCCATTGATCTATTATTTTTAACCAGCTCTGAAAATCTGTGTGCCTTCCCACTGCAAAGAGAGATAACTCAAATTTCCAATTTAACAGATGAAAAATTTTTCTGAGAACAAATTGGATGAGGCCACTTTTCTCATGTAAATAAATGGTAGCATTTTTCTTTAGATTTTTTTAAAGTCATGTTTTTATCAATAAATTTGAAGGCAAACTAAAAGCCTCTGCATCAATGTATCTTCTGATGAAATTTTCCATATGACAGATCATTTTATTATTTAAGTTTAAAAAATAACATTAAACTCTATTTAACTTATGCAACTGATTACTGTGAAAAAATATTCCCTAGGCCATTTATTTTTAAAAGACTTTTCCCTCTCACTAACCAAGAAAATATCTATCACAATTCATTTTGGCTTTGAAAATGTTTCCCGTAAATTTTATCTGTTCCAAGTCAAAGAGTTCCTGAATTACAGAGCTCTTACGGTAGAAGCTATGAATAGTGATAGGGAATAGAAGTTGTATTCTAGTTCAGTAGTGGTACGCTTTCCCCTTGGGAGATAAGCACATGCTTGGTGTGTAGAGATTTTCCAACAGTTGCAAAGAATTCAGTCCTTCTCAAAGGCCATTCCTACCTACAGGCAGGCCATTACCTGCAGTGCTTTCCACCCTGAAGGACCTATCAGTTGACTTGATGGTATGACCTTGGACTCTTAGGGGTTATTTTCTAATTCCTGATTCCCTGCCGGGGATGTGCTGGTCTTTTATTCCCTAGTATAATGTCTCACGCAGGAACAGGACTGATTGCTTTTCAGAGATTAAGGTTGAGTAGAGATCAGGTCTCAGAATTCACCCATGAAGAGTTCTCTTAGGGTAGGCCAAGTGGAAAGCCAACTCCCAATATGTTATTTAGAAGGGTTGGGCCCTCCTGGTATTGCCCTTGTTCTCCTGTCTCATTTATGAGTCAAAATAAATAATAAAAAAGTGGTTTCTATCTCGTTCATCCCCACAAACCTCTCCAACTGAGTGATGGTAAGCTAGAGATGAAGGAGCACAGGTCACAGGGAATACACAGCCGCAGATCATAGGTGGTTCCTGTAGTTAATTCAGAGAGCTATAGCTACCTTTGTGAGCTCCTAAATGCCTCTGTATATGTCATACTATGGGCAGGGCTTACCTGTCTGCACACCCTGTCACTCTATATACACCCATGCAGACTTTACAAATACTGATTCTTTTTAAAAACCTCATTGTCTAACTAGTAACAGAATCATGATAGGTACTTTACAAATATTTGTTGAATAAATGAATGCATGAATGTATAACAGTGTAGGGATGTCTCAGATACATCTAAACTGGTTGATTGGTTTCAAATTGTCGATATACAGAAGTGGAATAGACTTAGGGATCAGGAGCCAAGAGTGAAACCCTCGCCATATGTTTACTTTCACTCCATGCCTCAGACTCTACTGCTCCATTTGAAAGCTGTCACCAACCTCATAGATTCAAATGATTCTCATTTTAAATGTCTAACAATTGAGCTTTGAAATATGTTAAATTACCATGTACTAATGAGGAATATTAAATAAAAGCTTAGAAAGGTCTTTTTTTTGTCTTTCTGCCTCTAATATGTAGTAAGAGATTGACTTTCCATTAACTTTTTATTAATTGAAAGAATGAATGAAACACACTCCAAGAGTTAATAAACCAGGAAAAGAGAACAAACAGTTCTCATGCACACTCACATGCTTTGAGGTACCATTTTACATGTTAGAATAATTAGTAACTACTCTTACCTAAATTAGGGTAATTACTAGGAAATGTTTAGTTATTTAAATTTAATTATTACTAGTACTTAAAAATTAACAAAACTGCATTTATGAAAGTCTCTATAATGTAGCTTGACATTATTTAAGAATGATTTTCTATATCAGATACTGTGAATTGGTGAATTTGAGACGGAACAAGTACAGAGTACAGCACTCAACAGTGCATGTGTGACTATTCTCAGGCTTATATGAAACTCCTCTATTAAAGATTCTTTACTCTTCTATGTCTTGGTTTTAGGTTTGATATAAACAACATCGATGCTTCTATGTCCTAAGGTCAAGTGATTTCTAAGGCTCGACCCACAACTCTTGTTTTAAACATTTCACTCAGGCCTAGCTTACCTTGTTTCAGCCTCTCACCACCTAAATACCTTGAGAAAACATTCACCCTAGAAATAAGCACTGGCCCTTGCATATCTGTATGGGGAGAGTGAGAAAAAATAGCTTATTTAAGCAAACTACAATTTATTCATTTTTATTCTACCTGGAATTTTTTTTGTTTGCAATGTTTCCAGTGCTAGAGGATCATGGCTGTGTGTGTATGCATGTGTTTTGGAAGAGAACTGGTCTCATTGAGCAGAAGGCTCTCCTGCTTTCACACTAATCTGATGAGGACTGAACTTGCCTTAGTGAAAATTTGAGAATCAAATAACCCTCATTTTCCCAGAGGAATGATAAAGAAGGGCCACCACATAAGCTCAGAAATGACAAATAATATTTCATAGTTTATTAGTTATATGAGATGTTAGCAGTCCATTGGTTTTTCTCAGTTTTTAAGTTCCATTCAGGAAAAATCAACTACTTTTCAGCTCTATATGGGCAACATTTAATGCACCTGGAAGTTAGAGTGGACTTTGTAAAATGCCACTTTAGTGTGCAGGTCACCCAGTTGACCCATGGAGTATACTGGGTTTTGTGTCATATAAATAATAATTAACATTGAAATAGTTTTCATCTTTATTAAATGTTGTCTTCTGTCAAAAGTAAATAAATGAAATGTCTGAGGTTATAATTCATAGCTAATGCATGAACAAATTGAGGGCTTACATAAAAAATGTATTAATATGTATCTAAAAACATTTTTAAGCACCAAAACAACTCTTAAATATATTATAAATGAACATATATGTGTATATTGATGTGTATGTATATGTATATATACACATAAATACACCTACATATACATAGATATCCACACAAGTATATCATTATCATTGATATATCAAATGTATCATTAAGTGAAAGGTTATAGCTACATAAATATGTGTGTATATGTATGTGTGTGTGTGTGTGTGTGTGTACCTGTATAGAAGAAAGTGAAAGAATTCAAAAGAAACAAATTATAAGCGTAAATTCAAAACTGCTGAAAAAACCTGTCAAATCATCAATATGGGTCAATGTCTACTTTAGACAATAAGCCTTAAGAACCAGATTCTTTTAATACTTCCAGTAAAGTCCAACGTGAACACTTCCTCCTAAGACTCTGAATATAAATTTTGATCCGCAGTTTGTATTTTCTTCTCCTATTTAAAGAAGCTTTTAAAAGGAGAATATGTTGCATTATGCAAAGTATCTATTTGCCCTACAAACACATACAGTACTGTTTAGATGGTAATTAATCTGAAAATAAGAAATAAAAATACCACACAAATACTTTGGCACCTTAAAAAGAGTTGGACTCCTTTGAAAATGCCTATTGCTATAATTATACAATTATTACAGGCATTTATATCTAAGGTTCTTTCCTCTGAGGTTTCTGTTAGGAAACATTATTGGTCTTTCTGTTTTTCTTGAAGAGATCTCCATTTTCTTGTTATTGTACTATTCCAATTGTTCTTTTTTCTATTGAAGTTTCTGAGCATTTTTCTCCTTTTCCTCAAGTGAGTACATATCAAAACTCCAGACAAACTCACAATTTAATTGTTGTCTTTTAAATTAAGCATTAAATGTGCATAAACTCCTGCCTGTTGGGTGAAGCTTATTCATTTATCTGGGCATGCTACTGCATATCCGTTAGCAGAGAAATGCAGGCACCTGCCAAGGTATTTCATTTAATTAATTGTTTCCTCAAAACCTTTTGCCTAACGATATATTTTAGAGAAAAATTTAACTTATTTGAAGTATATGTAAAGGCCTAGCGCTGGTGATGAAAACAAACTTTGAGTGTGACCATATTGTACAATTATTGATAAAAGATTGATATTATTGACTACACTCTCTGGACCTTAACACAAACAATAATTGGGAGAATCCATTACAAGATACAGGTCAAATAATATTTACTAGTGAAGATCATTAGAAATTAGTCATTTAGAACTCGATTGATAGGTATTTTTGCCCATATTTCTTATTTTCAACTTAATTCATAAGGATAGGAGTGTGGCTGGGTTTGGTGGCTCACACTTGTAATCCCAGCACTTTGGGAGGCCAAGGCAGGAGGATTGCTTGAGCCCAGGAGTTCTGGACCAACCTGGTCAACAATAGGGAGACCCCGTCTCTATTTTTTAAAAAATAGCCAGGTTAGATGGTGTACTCCTGTGATCTGAGCTACTTTGGCGGTTGAGGTGGGAGGATTTCTTGATCCCAGAAGTCAAACCTGCAGGGAGCCATAATCACACCACTGCACTCCAGCTTTTATGACAGAGTGAGACCCTGTCCCCTGCCCCTCAAAAAAAGGACAGTAAGAATGTATTCAAACAATTCTTCAATGTTGAACAACTTTCATTCAATGTATGTACCATATAGAAAAAGAACAACAAAGGCTTTTCTGTCCAAGGAAAATTAAATCCAAAGGTGCTTACCAGATCTGTGGACTGGATCACTTAATAGGAGTTAGCAATCTTTGGAGAATTGGAGATCAAAGAAATGGTCGTAAATGACTGAGTCTGTATTGTAAATGTTCAAGTGTTGAACTAGCAAGTTTTACATTGATTTTAAAAATTAATCACTGCACAAATTGCTATTAGGGAATAAGAGACAACCAGGAGCAATGGGGTTTGTACAGCAGCAATAATACCAACTACTGATTGCACAGCAAAAACTAGATCTGTACCCTCTTTTACCTCTGCTAATTTTTATGACAAGGTTCTCTGTTACTATCCTTGTTTTACAGATGAAAAGAGTAAAATGCACTCATTTTAATCAATTTGCAAGAGATCTCATAAGCAGAAAGTAAACTTGCTAGAATTCAGACTCCAGCCCCCCATTAGCAGAAACATACATCCCTCTTTGATATTTTATAAATTTACAATATTTATATATATGGTTTATAATAATAGTATTTGTAATAATTTTACATACCTTTAGTTAAAGAATATGATTGCATACTTATTTTAAAATTTTCAAATAATGCAAAAATGTATAGAACATAAACTGAGTCTAATAAAATTAAAAGGTACTTGATCAGTATTACTCTTTAACTTGTAAATACTAAGAGAAACAATTCCATAATTGCTTTAGGTTAGTCCAATCTTCAGCACCAATGTTCAGTGTGATAAGATCATTCGTAACTTACCACGAAAAGCAAGTGGAAAAGTATTTTATCAAATGGACATCACTCCAAATCAATGGTACACACATGGAAAGGCAATGAACACTTGAGTTTGCTCAGATTTCAGGACTGGGTCAGCTCTTTGCATGTGTGTGGTGATACGGTTTGGCTGTGTCCCCACCCAAATCTCATCTTGAATTGTAGTTCCCATAATCATCACACGTCATAGGACGGACCCAGTTGAAAGTAATTTAATCATGGGGGGTGGTAATCCTCATGCTGTTACCATGGTGGTAATCCTCATGATAGGGAGTGGGTTCTCACGAGATCTGATGGATTTATAAGGGACTTTTCTCCCTTTTGCTCAGTACTTCCCTTTGTTGCCACTATGTGAAGGACATGTTTGCTTCCCCTTCTGCCATGATTGTAAGTTTCCTGAGGCCTCCCTAGCCCTGCAGAACTGTGAATCAATTAAACCCCTTTCCTTTATAAATTACCCAGTCTTGAGTATTTCTTCATAGCAGCAGGAGAATGGACTGAAACAGTAAATTGGTACTACAGAGACTGGGGTGCTGCTATAGAGATACACCAAAATGTGGAAGAAACTTTGGAACTGGGTAATAGGCAGAGGTTGGAACAGTTTGGAGGGCTCAGGAGAAGATGGGAGAATGTGGCAAAGTTTGGAACTTCCTAGAGACTTGGAGGGCTCAGAAGACAGGAAAATGTGGGAAAGGTTGGAACTTCCTGGAGACTTGTTGAATGGGTTTGACCAAAATGTTGATAGTGATATGGACAATGAAGTCTAGGCTGAAGTGGTCTCAGATGGAGATGAGGAATTTGTCGGGAAATGAAATAAAGGTGATTCTTGCTATGCTTTAGCAAAGAGACTGGCAACATTATGCCCCTGTCCTAGAGATCTGTGGAACTTTGAACTTGAGGGACATGATTTAGGGTACCTGGTGGAAAAAATTTCTAAGCAGCAAAGAAATCAAGAGTAAGCAGAGCATAAAAGTTTGGAAAGCTTGTAGCCTGGCAATGTAATAGAAAAGAAAAACCCTGTAATCCCAGCACTTTGGGAGGCCGAGGTGGGCGGATCGTGAGGTCAGGAGATCGAGACCATCCTGGCTAACACGGTGAAACCCCATCTCTACAAAAAATACAAAAAATTAGCCGGGTGTGGTGGCATGCACCTGTAGTCCCAGCTACTCGGGAGGCTGAGGCAGGAGAATGGTGTGAACCCAGGAGGCGGAGGTTGCAGTGAGCCGAGATCATGCCACTGCACTCCAGCCTGGGTGACAGAGCGAGACTCCATCTCAAAAAAACAAAAAAAAAACAAAAAAAAACAAAAAAGAAAAACCAAATTTCTGGGGAGAAATTCAAGCTGACTGAATAAATTTGCATAAGTAACAAAGAACCAAAGATTAGTCACCAAGACAATGGGGAAAATGTTTCTAGGGCATGTCAGGGACCTTCACAGAAGCCACACCCATCACAGACTTTGAAGGTCTAGGAGGGAAAAATGATTTTGTGGGCCAGGCCCAGGGCTCCCTGACTGTATGCAGCTTAGGGACTTGATGCCCTTCATCCCAGCTGTTCCAGCTATGACTAAAAGGGGCCAAGGTACAGCTCAGGTTGTGGATTCAGAGAGTGCAAGCCCCAAGATTTGCCAGCTTCCACGTGGTGTGAGCCTGCAGGTGGAATTGGGGTTTGGGAGCCTCCAGCTAGATTTCAGAAGTTGCATAGAAATGCCTGGATGTCCAGGCAGAAGTTTGCTACAGGGGTGGAGCCCTTAGGGAGGACCTCTGCTAGGGTAGTGAAGAAGGGAAATGTGGGATTAGAGTGCCCACATAGATGCCCACTGGGGCACTGCCTAGTGGAGCTGTGAAAGACAGTCACTGTCCTCCAGACCTCAGAATGGTGTTAAATTTATCCACCAACATCTTGCCTTGTGTGCCTGGAAAAGCCACAGATGCTCAATGTGAGCCCATGAAAGCATCAGGGAGGGGGGCTGTACCCTGCAAAGCCACTTGGGCAGAACTGCCCAAGGTTGTGGGAGCCTACCTCTTGTATTAGCATGATCTGGTTGTGAGACATGGAGTCAAAGGAGATCATTTTGGAATATTAAGGTTTAATGACTCCCCTGTTGGATTTCATACTTGCATGGGGCCTGTAGCTCATTTATTTTGGTTAATTTCTCCCATTTGGGATGGGTATATTTGCCCAATGCCTCTACACCCATTTTATGTAGGAAGAAACTAACTTACTTTTGATTTTACAGGCTGATAGGCAGAAGGGACTTGCCTTGTCTCAGATTAGACTTTGCACTTAAACTTTTGAGTTAATGCTGGAATGAATTAAGATTTTGGGGACTGTTGGAATGGTATGATTGTGTTTTGAAATGTGAGGACATGAGATTTGGGAGGCGTCAATATGGAATTATATGGTTTGGCTGTTTCCCCATGCAAATCTCATCTTGAATTGTAGTTCCCATAATCCCCACTTGTCATGGGAGGGACCCAGTAGGAGATAATTTAATCATGGGGGTGGTTACCTTCATGCTCTTCTCATGATAAAGAGTGAGTTCTCGCAAGATCTGGCGGCTTTATAAGGGCCTTTTCCCCCTTTTGCTTGGCTCTTCTTGTTGCCACCATGTGAAGAAGGACATGTTTGCTTCCCCTTCTGCCATTTTTGTAAGTCTCTTGAGGCCTCCCCAGCCCTGCAGTACTGTGAGTCAATTAAACCTTTTTCCTTTATAAATTACCCAATCTCAGATATTTCTTCCTAGCAGTGTGAGAACAGACTAATACACGTGGTTAAATACATGAGGACAAAATGCTGCACTAAAAATCCATTTTATGGAAGAAGGGTTTTTAAAATGATTCTACTAGATTGTTTTTAAGAGCCATGATGAAGATTGGTATATATCATGAGAGGCACTGATGATGTATGAAATGAGAAAGACATACTGAGTATCTGGAAAAACAAAATCAAGACAAAAAGCATCTCTGACTTCTTGTCAATCCATCACTTTCAATAATATGCCTCTTGCTCTTTTAATTTATCATTGGAGAAAACAGCTAAATGTGGAAATACAAGGGGATATGATCAAATGACTGTCACTGCCTGAACTGGAACCAGGGCCAAAATATTATGACTTTTTAAAAATATCAGGTTTTCTTAAGAATATTCAATACTGATGAAAGTGGCCAGGTTCCTACAAATTTATATTTTTCTCAACACAATTTTCTTAACTCATCAGATTAAAAATATGGATGATACGTTATTGACCACACTTTAAAAAATCACAAGCAAGTGTTAAAGACTTTTCAGAGACAAACACTAAATTGAAGATTAGGATTCAAATTATTGCTTTCTCCTAAGAGGAAACAATCTTCCAGATTTTCCATGTAATATGCTTCTTGACTTAGCTTCTAGAGAGTGCTTAGAAGGTTAAGAAACCTAGCATTCCAAATGGGCATTGGAGGACTGGAGAAGATAGCACAATGACTGAACAAAAGGTACGTCTAGTGAAACCTTTTGTATTTTGTGCTTTCTTGTCTTTTTTTTTTTTATTGTTGTTTTCTGTTGTGTGTGTGGGTGGAGGAAAAGGGAGTATGGATGGGTAGGATGTGTGATCAGCTGTTATCAATCAAGTTTGGAAACTCCCTTGTGGTTTGGCATTTCTGAGGACTGGCCTGGTCTTCCTCTTGGAAATCATCCAATCTCCATTGGAGGGCTCTTTGTTTCAATAGCAATTCCTGACAAACAGAAATTCACATGGTATTTTTCATCTTTATTATTCTTGGATGAGGCTTATTGATTGGCTAGATGTTTATAACTGTGTCCTCTCCTAAAGAGTGGACTGAAATCTAAGAACAGCAGTAGTCATTAACATCTATTAGATTTTGTTTCACACAGCATATTTTGAATGAGTGGAATGCAATGTGAAAATTTATACCATCACTAAATTGCTGCATTGAATTCAAGATCCATCTTCTTGACTTAAAAAAGTAGAATTAGAGAAGTCGTTCACAACCAGTTTAGAGTATCATGGTTGAATTTTCCTTTGAGTTTAAAACTAAATGTTAGGTTTTGGGGGAAGTCTTACAAAAAACTTTAATAGCTGTCATTTATGTATCTTGTACTGTATTAAACTTGTAAACTGTATTTGATTTAATTATTATAGTACTCTTAGTACATACTCTTATCCATATGATTTTGCAGGTGAATCTCAGAAAGATTATTTAAATAACTTTCTCAAGGTTACACAGCTAGAAATGAGAAGAGTCAGCATTTAAACCTAGGTCTGTTTGACCCTATGTTTCTGCCTCTCATTTTGAAGTCAAGTGTAGCTATCCTCCCCCATTTTCACCTGCCATAAATGGCAGGAATGTCACCAATTATTTGGGGCTTTTTTTTTTTTCATAAGTTTTCTACAAATGATTGTTACTCCAGCCACTTATTTACATGAAGGAAAAGTCAGTTGTAGACACAGGTATAAAACCTCAAAATGTCAGCAAGATAACAAATAGAAAGGGAGCCTGGGCAGCTATTGAATGAACATTACACAGAGGCAATGCAGGAGGATTCTTTGTAAAAGATAAAAAGAATATCACTAAACATTCACTCCTAACATTTAATCTGAGTCATTTTTAGTTGAATAAAATTGGCACACACCACCTGTTGCCTACAGACAGTTTATAGCATGGGGAGATTTCCAAATTCTTGTTACCGCTTTCTCCCTTTCTCTCTCTTTCAGATCCTTTACCTTCTCACCTTCCAGAAACATGTTAAGTGCCCTTAAAGCACAGACCACTTGACCTCCTTTCCTATTCGTGTGTGTGTGTGTGTGTGTGTGTGTGTGTGGTGTTTACTATGAGCTACAGTGTTTACGAATTCAGTTTTAATAGGGCCAGTTGCAGGACTTTCAGTATGTGATAACTCCTGAAAAAGTGGCGAGAAGATTTTATTCTTCCCCTCCTCTTCACTTTATTTTCAATCATTAGAGGTTGTGACTTGAGGCATTTCCTTTTATTGGCTTTTTCCTCCATCATGATCAAGAAACTGATTTATGCCAAAGTCAGAATGAGTCAGACAATAAGAAACCAAAGTGTATTTGGACCAGGGAGCAAGGATGTATTGAAATGAGTCCCAGCAAACTCTCTGTTTCTGGGTGTTTAACCACATGCAAACAGGATGGGATGGTGGCTTCACAAGGGTGTGGTTCTTCCACCTCTCCTCCCACAAACTCCCCTTCCTCTCTTTCCCCCCGCATGTGTTTCAAATTGGAGCAATGGTGGGTGGGAGAAGCAAGAGCTGCCCTGTGAACTATAAATAGTAAAGCCAAGAATTCTGAGTGTTGGAGGAGGGGAGGTGGAGGGAGATAGCAGGGTGAGGGAGGTGGGAAGCTACTCAAATGTAATCATTTGCATTGCTTCAAACCAAACCAACTTCTGCAGTATATTAAGAGTATCGAGTAAATATGTGGCCAGCCTCAAACCCAACCTGAAAAAAAAGAAGCTATAATGGAGATGGTCCCTGATAGATAGTCACCTCCCTTAACTTTTTGGAAAAATACAGTTATAGTCAGGGCTAATGTGGACCAAAACCCATGGAAAGATTGATGGAAATTCATTTTTAAAAAGCCACACACATGAAAATAATTTACACAGGAGGCTTTCTGCACCACAGCTGTGCTGCTTATTTATTTTGGACCAGTTTCTGCAAAAAGTGGTACAAAAAAATGGACTCAATTCTTGCTTGATAGCCTTACGAATGTCAAATTAGTCCCCTGAACTCAATACCCTCTTTCCTGAATAGGCTGTTGTTTAAAGGAAGATGGGTCTTCAGTGTCTCCAGGTATTCATTTCTTTAGCATGTACTTTAAGGCTCCACCCTAGAATCTCATAATTTTCAATCTAAGTAACTCTTGGTCCTATTTCTCCTGCAACTTAAATATACCAAAAGATAAAGAGTGGGAGACAGAGGAATGTATAGGACAACTGCTTAGTGTGTGAGCCTGCCTCTACCTTAGCTGGAAGAGGTACTTATAAAGAGTCCTCCTAGACCCATGAAAGTTATACAAAAGAATTATCTTGAGCATGATTGCCCCACCCCAGACCATAGACTTCGGAGGATAGTGTTGTACCTGCTTTGACGCTTGCTGAATTTCCTCTAAACCCCTGAGCCAGGATGAGGCAAGTGGTTTATGGGAGTTCCAATGCACCTTGCAGGGCGGGATATCCATTCCACCTTGAAATTGAGTAGAGCTTGGTGCCTCAAAGCCAGCCAACACATGTGTGAGGGTGTGACATTTATTTAAGGGATTTGGAGACCAAGGCTTCATACACATGCAATCAGAGGCTTCTGGTGTCAGTATTCTTTGAATTATCCCCTGGCAAAGAAGGAGATGTGGATTGATACATCAAAACTTGGCCTTTGTGTAAGGGGCATGTTTGTATGGTTCTAATCTGGTTCATAGTCATATTCATTATTACGATTTATCCACTGTCTTTCTTCTATGTTGCCAAAGTGTTCCTTGGCCAATCTAGAATTATAGTGAATTAACTCTTTTAGGTCAATGCAAAGTTCATCTCTTAGGTTGCCTCCCCATAGGATAGACTTGTTTTAAAGAAGAACTTATTCCCTCAAGAGATGCACTTGTCATTTATTATGAGAGCTTTTGTTATATCTCTAAAGGGAGAGATGGCTGTTGAGGTTACTTTCTGTGTCTAACACAGAGCCTTAGACATAAGAGGTTTAAGGATAATACACTTCTTTTATGGATCACTGTATTAAAACACAAGGAAACAAAATAATGCTTATAAGTCATCTAGTTTTTCTAGAATAAGCTTTAAAATATTGCTGAATACATTCAATAACACCATCCTTTTTTCATTGTACATGCTACATGTTGTTGAAAATCAATTTTGGCAGGCATTAAAACTCCCATTGACCCGGGCCAATATATTTAACTCAACCAGGTTGTTTTCTCTGATTTACAATTTTCTCTTTTTTTTTTTTTTGCCAAGTTTATATTAAAAGAATTAGAAACCATAAAGTTAAAATCTTACAAAGCAAGCATTTTTTTCCTCCCTCATTAACCTATCAATATAGATGTCAAGTTCTATTTCATGAGCAGAACCCTTGCATGCACAGCCACTGAAGAGTCAGCTCGCTTTAAGTTCTCAAAGAATTTTTCATTGAATTTAATATATTTGATAGGCTCCACTTTACACAATGAGAACAGTAGCCTTTTCTGTTTTCCATTTTTTTTTTAGAAAAGGAAAGATAATAAAGTTGACCTAATGAGACCCAGGAAAGTTTTGAACTCTCTGAGGTAATACATGAGATATCGTTAGTAAGACTCCTGTCTGTTTCTTGTGAGTGTATTTGAATTTTAACTTGGTAGTTACAAAATGAGAACCTAGACGCTGGATCAAAACCTGACCTTAAGATTAATCTTATTTTTGCCTCGAGAGACACAAACATGTTCAGCATGCCACCTTTTGACTGCAGAAAATTGATGTGACTATTCGCCAAAATAAGCAAGGCCTCCCTCTCTGTATGGCCCGACTTTTTTTTTTTTCTGGGAGTGGGGGAAAAATACATGACATCCTCCTGATGGCTCCTTGACAGAGTTGATATATAACGGCCTTGAAAATAGGTCCTAGCCCCTAAGTATAAACCCACAATAAAAGCAAAAAGAAACAGGCTATCTTTCCACCAGGGGACAACAGACACTCTAATCGAAACAACCCCAAAGAAAATGATTGGATGTGTGGCTGGCCATGTCTCTTGTATTCTTTTTCTTGGTACCCTTAGAACTTTTGTATCCACAGGGAAGTGTTGCCCTTTCTCATGGAATGGTATTGGAAAGAGACATAAACAGCAATAAAAAAAGGCTTTGGGATTGAAAGGGAGGAAAATAGAAAAGGTTGGTCACACAAGTGAGAGGGTTTGGGAATTTAAGCAGTTAATTTTGTAGACTGTGAACTTTGAAAGCTGTATGTGAGACTTAAATGTGTATGAGAGAAAAATAGATTTTATTTCTTTTGTAGTCATCATTCTTGTTATTATTGATACTTCTTGAACTTCAGTTTCACTATCTGTAATTTGGATGTGTAGCACTTGCCTTCTCATTTTATGGTCTGAGGCCCCAGTCCCCAGCCTTTTTGGCACGAGGGACCAGTTTCGTGAAAGACAATGTTTGCACACACCAGGGAACGTGAGGGGTACTGGACCGCAGCCCAGGGGTTGAGGATCTCTGCTCTAAGGCCATAAGCAGGTTTTTGTTTTTGATTTAACTAAGAATTCCAGGCACATTTCCCTAGTTTAATTATGCCCTGTTCATTGACTGAATGGAACTAAGTATTTTCAATAGAATTAAATAAAAAGAGAAGAAAAAACATACTCAAAATGCTTATTCTTTTTTCATGTTCTTATTTCTGTTCAAAGCAGTAGTTCTCAACCAGGGCAATATTCTCAGCCTACATCCACTCCACCATGGACATTTGACAATGTCTAGAGACACTTTTAATTGCCATGACTGAGTGTGTGTGAAGGGGGACATGTTGCCACTGGTATCTAGTAGGTAGAATAGACAGTAATATTCTAAACATCTTATGTAGAACAGGACAGCCCCCTCACAACAAAGAATTATTGGATTATGGATCCACAATGTCAATAGTGCTGAGATTAAGAAATCCTATCTCAGAGCAGAAAAAAATGACGGAGTGAAGCTTTACTTTTTTTTGGAATGAGTTACATTAGTTTAAATGATGTGCTCAACTAAAATCTCATGCTCCAACATAAAGAAAAAGTTATTATTATGAATAATGGCATGGTTGCTCTATGTGAGAAAAAATCCAGGATATTAAGAGAATAAGGAAACAAGAGACCAGAAATATTATCATTAAATTTTGCCAAATCTCAGATAATAGAAAAAAGGTTAGAATTCTACAGATAGATGTGCCAGTTTTCAAAAAGGAAAAGGAAAATTCTGAGACCTATTGGAAGCTGAGTGGTAACAAGTAGCTAACATGATGTATTTATGTTATGATCTTTATCTTTCTTTTCTTTGCCCAGTGGAGCAGAGGCAGTGTAAGTGGATTTGAGTGAGACTTGGTTTCTTATAACTCAGTAGGCTGGGGTAGGGGGGATCACTCTTTGTATATAAGTAACATTTGAGTGGTCAATGGATTAATTACAACTTGAACAGTAATGTCTGTTTCCAGTTGTAGGGTTTTGTATTAATTCTTTTCTGATCTAATATTTGTTACAGTAAAGATTACTGATCAAATTGAAGATGACTTGAAACTGGGAGGGTTGCAGAATCAAGATAAAAAAGATGATAACAAAATAAGAAGAGTATGCCAATAATAATGACATGAACTTTAATGTAAGTTCCTAAAACTAGTAACACAGGAAGAGGTTGGAGGAGTTGGGTGTAAATAGAAGCTTACATGAAAATTGTTTCAGTAATTTAGTGGACTGCAGCTTCATATTGAGTCCAGATTAACCCACATGACTTTTGTTTATATAACCATCTCAATGTCTACTGTCTTATGTCAGGAAAAACACTGACAAGCTGGAGTATCCAGAGGGGAATGGCTAAGCTGGGAACTGCCACATGATCAACTATTGGAAGTGCTAGGAAAACAGAGACCAGGAGAAATGAGATAACTGTTCCAAACTACATAAAAGACTGCTGGGTAAAATAAAGTTTGGGTTTTAGTGACTGTCCCAAAAGAAAAGCCTAACGAGCTCCAGAAAGCAAATTTGAACTCAAAATATTCAGCTGTTTGAAAATGGAATCGGTGCCTTCCAGTAAGTTCCGTGTCACCAGAGCCTAACAATTAAATGGCATAATTTTTTTAAGAAGCTATTCAACTATCAATACCAGGAAGATGCTAAATTATCTTCCAATTTAGGATTTGGCGATTTTTAGATCATTCATAACAGATATAAACCCAAAATACGTTTTAGGGTGGTCTGATTCTGTCAATATATGTTAATGCTATTACTTTATGAAGTAGTTTCAAATTGCCTACAAAAGGATTTCCCAAAGTAGATGTCACAGTTGGGCAGGGTCTCTTTGTACTTCACACTCAAAATTCCATGAGGAAAAAAAATGAGATTATGGCATGCTACATTATTTCTTGGATAGTCAAAAAGCATGTTAGCATGTTAGATAGAGGCTCTGAAAAGTACTGCAGGTAAAATTAAAAAAAAATAAAACAAATTATTAAATTCATCATTGGGTCATTCAAAGCTCTTCACTGTTTCCTCTTTAGTTTTTCAACCTCAAAGTCCATAATCCTCCTCGTGAACCCTCCACTCTAGCCACCCAGTAAAATTCTCATTGACCTTTTCCACCCTGTGGCTCTTGCCATTTCCTTTGCTTGAAAGTCTTAGTTCCTGTGTCTGCCCACAGGGGTCACTCCTCCTGAAGGCAAAGCCAAAATGAAATTCTCACTTTTGCACATACTTTAGCCTTAAAGTGGTTGCATTTCATGCAATTTACTTATTAGAGTCTGGTGACATATACTTCATGAAATACTCTGATGTACCTTACAACACCAACCTGGCATGATGTTTCTCACCCAGTAGGTGTCCAATAAATGTTTTTGGAATTATTAAAGGAAACAAAGACAGTTGGAACTCAAGAGATTCATGCTCAGATCAATGTAAATATGCTTAATATTAAGGGAATAGCTTTTTATAATCCGGACAAGCAAGTGGAAAAGAATACTGTCAAACACTGAAAGCCAGCCAGGTGTGGCGGCTCATGACTGTAATCCCAGCACTTTGGGAGGCTGAGGAGGGTGGATCACTTGAAGTCAGGAGTTGGAGACTAGCATGGCCAACATGGTGAAACCCCATCTCTACAAAAATTAGCCGGGAGTGGTGGCACACCAGCTACTGGGGAAGCTGAGGCATGATAATCACTTGAACCCAGGAGGTGGAGGTTGCAGTGAGCTGAGCTCAAGCTACTGCACTCCAGCCTGAGCGACAGAGAAAGACTCTATCTCAAAACAAAGCAAAACAAAATAACACAACAACAAAAAACATTGATAGCCTTATTTTATAAGGTGAAGCATCAGTGTAATCTATCTTGTTTTTTTAAAACAAACAGCTTGCAGTCACCCTTCATCCAAACTAGATGACTGACTCCCAAATGGAAAGGTGGCTTTGTAGAGCTCACTATATTTCATTGAATGATCCGTGTTTTTGTTTTTGTTATTCTGTTTTTAATATTTGCTTTTCATTAGTGGTATTTGGCTATGCCTCTGCCTATATCTGGACCCCTGGATTTTCATCACAAACTGTTCTAACTTGATGATTTTGCTCTGTAAATAAACAAAATAATATATTCTAGGTCTTCTTATCAACTTGATCCAGAGAGAGAATATATGGCTTTTGACTCAGATTTTGAAGGTCTTGCCCTAAGGAGCTTACATAAGGTTCTCTAAACACCTTAAGTGACAGAGCCTAATTATTTTTTTTAAGAGTTAGCAAGTAAGAGGAAATTGTAAAAAAAAAAAAAAAAAAAAAAAAAAGTAATGCTTTTTTTTTAATACTCTCTAATTCTTTTATCTCCAGGAAACTTTAGTTATCTGTGTTTAATATTAATTTCCTTTCCAAAATAATTTTAGGTCTATTACCTCTCATTTCTTTCCCCTATATTTTTTAACTTACAGCTCATTATCAGTAATTAAATATATTAATTTTCTTTCTTTCTTTTTTTTTTTTTTTCCTAGACAGAGTCTCACTCTGTCACCTAGGCTGGAGTGCAGTAGTGTGATCTCGGCTCACTGCAACCTCTGCTTCCCAAGTTCAGGCGATTCTCCTGCCTCAGCCTCCAGAGTAGCTCGGGCTACAGGTGTGCACCACCATGCCTGGCTAATTTTTAGTAGAGATGGGGTTTCACCATTTTGACCAGGCTGGTCTTGAACTTCTGACCTCAGGTGATCTGCCTGCCTCAGCCTCCCAAAGTATTGGGATTACAGGTGTGAGCCACCCTGCCCAACCATAAAGAACAATAGTTATTATTAACAAATTATTCCGAAGTTTAAATTAAGAGAATGATGAAGGCATTTGTTTAGACAATATTTTATCCAACTCAACAAGCATCATTCTGATTGAAATAAAGTTTGAAAATAATTGAGGTTTGAAAAATTACTCAAGTGGTTTGTGTATACAGAATACATACATTGTGTCATGTCTTCAAAAAGAATTCATTAAAGAGTTAGTTAGGTCATATTTTTCTTTTCTCCTCTTTATTTACAGCATGAATACCAGTATTAAGGAGCATAATTGTAATTAGTCTACCATTTCTTAGCCTTTTAGTGGTTAATATCAAATCCCTGAAAAGCTATGATTAAATATTCAGACATGTCTAGTCAAATGCCAAGTGCGCCAAAGGTAAACAGGAATAGAAAGAAAATTATCTTATTTTCATTGAATAAGGAAATGTAGCTACAAGGATGTGCAAATGAAGAAACTCAAGTGCGCAATTCTAACTATTTAAAGGACTTTGCCATCTATTTCCCTCCTAACAACATTTTAGCTGGACTCCACATCTAGAAGTGCATATACCTTCCAGATAAGGGGTTGGAATGGAGGTGTGTTGTACCCTACTAAATTGTTAAGGATCTTATCTGAAGAATGCCCAGCCACTGGAATAAGTATGGGACTCACATCAAGACATTTGCTCAGTCAACATACAACTTTTAGAGGTTGTATGCAGTTGCAGTCCCAGGCTGTTATGACTTTTCCTTTTGGCTTCAATTCGATGGTTAGTTATTCAGCCTTATTGTTCTCCCACTCCTTCAATAGGCTAAGGGACTCGCCACCCCAAAAGTTTCTTAACATTTCTGTGACTATTTTGTTAGAATCTTTTACCCACCTTCCTTTAAGACTGTTGTGAAGCATGATTCAGATCCGGCCTGTCTTGTGCTTTTCCTCGGTAAATATAGGAATTCTTAGCTTTCCGGGGAAGTCCATTTGATCTAGACTTTTATATCCCTGTGCTCATATCTAACTCAGTGTCTGGTTAAGGGAACCTATAGCATGTGTGTTCCACAGAACTCCTAGAGTCCTCAGGACTAGCAAAGAGAGTGCTTACTTATACATGCCTCTCTCATCCCCTCTCACCTGCCAGGGCTATTTCTCTGATCACAGTCTCTACTGATCACTCTAAGGACACATCTCCACCCCTCGCTGTTCTCTCATTGTCCAGGGCATTCTCATTTAGTCTCATCTGGGGGAGAGAACTGATGCTTTCTTTTGCTCTCTTTTCAGTCTATCATTATTAATGCCATAAAGTTTTCATTCTGCTTTCTTCAGAAATTTCTTTTTTGATTTTCTTTCTTTCCCTCCTCCTGTTCCTTTTTTCTCTACTTCTTTTTTTTTTTTTTTTTTTTTTGAGACGGAGTTTTGTTCTATCGCCTAGGCTGGAGTGCAATGGCACGATTTTGACTCACTGTGACCTCTGCCTACCGGGTTCAAGTGATTCTCCTACCTCAGCCTCCCAAGAAGCTGGGATTACAGGCATGCACCACCATGCCTGGCTAATTTTAGATTTTTAGTAGAGTTGGGATTTCACCATGTTGGTCAGGCTGGTCTCGAACTCCCAACATCAGATGATCTGCCCACCTCGGCCTCCCAAAGTGCTGGAATTACAGACCTGAGCCACCATGCCCTGCCCTTTTTTCTCTTCTTATCTCAATAAGTTTTGCACCTTTAAAAGCAAAATCTGTGGGTTTCAAATATATTGCTTTTTTTCTCATGAAGGCTTCAAGAATCATTTTTGGATATTAAAAAAATTAAGTATTCACTTACCCTCTTTGCAGCTGTGACAATCCTACATTTATGAAACTATGGTTGCTAATGGATGACTAAGAGGTTTATATGGAAAGGAGTCAGGAGTAAAAAGAATGAAAATAGATAATAAATTGCTATATTTTATTAAGGAAACAAAAGCCATTAGTTAGAAACTGACTCTTATTAACCCTCCATCAAACTTATATGCTTGTCTACATCTGCCTCTACCAGCTTCCTCTCTATAAATATATTTGGAAGGCTGCCTACTTCCTGCCAAAAGTAGGTTTTATCTTTCTGCTTTTGTTTACTCAAAGACTGATATGCTTTGGCTGTGTCCCCACCCAAATCTCATCTTGAATTGTAGCTCTCATAATTCCTATGTGTCATGGAAGGGAGCCAGTGAGAGGTAATTGAATCATGGGTGCTGGTCTTTCCCATGCAGTTCTCGTGATAGTGAATAAGTCTCATGAGATCTGATGGTTTTATAAAGGGGAGTTTCCCTAAACATGCTCTCTTGCCTGCCACCATGTAAGACATGCCTTTGGCTCCTCCTTCGCTTTCCGCCATGATTGTGAGGTTTCCCCACTTAAAGGTCCATTAAACCTCTTTTTCTTTATAAATTACCCAGTCTCATATATGTCTTTATTAGCAGTGTGAGAATAGACTAATACAAAGACTTAGTCCTTCAATTATTTCCTCTGTTTTCTGCACAATCAAGATCAATTAAATTCTCTCTCTTCAATGGCTGTTTTTTTCCGTTTGTGTGCAAATGTGATTCCATCCTACGAATAAATAAGAAATTAAATATTTCTTTAAATCCCTTCTGCTATATCTCTTCCATCTCACTTTATCCCCCCTTCCGCCATTTCTTGCTACCCTTTCCATCAATAGTTCTCTAAAGGATAATGTGGCCACTATGTCTCCACTTCTTCACCACCTTTTATACTTAAGTCCACTTTGATCTGGGGCCCATTCTCTGGCTCCACTAGATCTGCTCTTGTCAAGGTTACTGATGATCCCCAATGGCCAAATCAAATAACCCTTTTCTGCCTTACAATTACTTAATCTCACATCAGCAATTCATCTAGTTGTTCATTTCTATCTTTCTTCTCTTTAATATCGCCTGACATTATACACCTATCATGGATAAATCCTTTGCTGGCTTTTCTTATTTGCTTGAACTTTAAACTTTGAAGATTTTTTT